>NC_000004.12:83921381-84072896 GCF_000001405.40 Homo sapiens
CTGTCGCCTGGGCTGGAGTGCAGTGGCCTGATCTCGGCTCATTACAACCTCCGCCTCCCAGGTTCAAGCGATTCTCCTTGCCTGTCTCCCAAGTAGTAGCTGGGCTTACAGGTGCCCGCCACCATGCCCGGCTAATTTTTTTTGTATTTTTAGTGGAAAGGGGGTTTCACTATGTTGGCCAGGCTGGTCTTGAACTCCTGATCTTGTGATCCGCCAGCCTTGGCCTCCCAAAGTGCTGGGATTACAGGCATGAGCCATTGCGCCCGGCCTAAGCAGTTTATTTTAAAAATTAAGCAATATGGAGTCATTAGGGATCTGGGGGCAAGGAAATGACATGATCTACTCTGCACTTTTGGAAGCTTTATGTGGTCACAGTGTATAAGATAGATTAAAGAACAGAGATTGGTATTAAGGAGACTGGTTAATCCTAAAGAGAAGAAACAATAACCTAAAAAAAGAGGAGCAGTGGGAACTCATAAGAAGAGACAGAGTATTACGCAAGTAGAATCCATAGACTTGGCAACAGACTGGTGAACAAGATGAGAAGGTTGAAGATGATTCTGAGGTTTTGATTGAGTGAACAAAAGAGTCAGAGAAGTTAACAATAAACCTCAAAAAACTTAATTTTTTTCCTTTATCTTGAAAAGATCAATGCTTTTATAAAATAGAATGTAATGTAGTTGCATATCTTTTACCTGAGCTCAAAATTCAATTTACAGACACCTGCTATTGTAAGCCTTTTATTTCACACATAGTAATTTGGGTAAAGTTGAGTGAGTTACTTGGAGTTGGGAGAAAAAGGAGAAACAAAATATTTCTAAGTGGTTGCTGTGGTTATAAAATCAGCATGAAAGTTCTTGGCATTTATCATCCTGATTATTACACTAATATTTTTAGAAATCATTACAGAGAGCCAGAGTTTACCATATCCCAAATAGAGCAAACAGCTAAGTGAAGGTACATTGACCTCGTTGATCATGATTTAAAGATTCGTATTGGAATAGAACAGCATCCAGTCTTATCCAAGTTTATTTTGAAAGTACAGTCAGTCCACTTCATGGATAAGGTGTTTTCTAATTGACTGAAACACCAAGCAGGCTGATCTCTAAGCCACTCCATCAATACCCTTACAGAGAAAACCTGCATCCCCTTAGCCACCTCTCTCAGGCCAAGTGATTAAGTGTGCATTGGTCATTTAGCATAATAAATGTGAAGTAAGAGCGATTGAGTGTTGCCATGGGCCTCCTGCTGTGGAAATAAATGCCCTCCACCTTAGCATGCTTAGAGCAGACACAAAGAGTTTGCTTTAAAAGTGTTAAGGAGCCATAAGCACCCTTTTAGTTTTGAAACAGAGCCTTCAGGTAGTTAATCCTATCTGTCAGGCAATGTGGAAATGTGATCTGTTATCACTACCCTCTACATTTGAAATAAATCTATTTTAATGGGAAACAAAAAGTGGCCCTTTAGTGATCATTTTCTAAAATGTAACATGCACCTCCTTTAAGGGGCATTACTACCAGTATGGCAGAAATCACATGAACCTTAGAAATAGCTACTAGGGAAGGAATGAAGACTCCATTTTGAAAATTTCTTCTTTGCTCTCAGAAATCAAAGAAAGAAGAGTGCATGTTGCAATGACAGAATCTATTTATCACTAAGCAAATGCACAAAAGATATTGTTCTTTCTTAAGATTCTTAAGCATATTAAGGAAATTAGCTATATTAAATTCACCAAGTTTCTGATTTTGTAAATGTATTAAGTCAACAAAATCGCTAGTATAGTCTGGTTATTAATTCTAGTTGTCTCTGCTAGATTATTTGATCCAGGTTATTGCTACTGTAGAAGAGACATAGTTTCATATAAAATGAAGCAAATGTTTGATCAAATTAGGTGCTATCATTTGAGGCGGGGCATATTGAAATTAATATCCTCACATCTCCACTTGCCATCCCCAGAAATTTGCCTCTGACCTGCAATAAATAGTTGTGGTTCTTGAGCTATTTAAGCCTGATTAAGGTATTTGTTATGCATTTGACAGTACACAATAGTGCACAATGTCAATTCTCAACTGTCATCATTATGATTAAAAAGGGTAGAAGAGAATGACCCCTATGTGGAACAAGTTGTAATAAATAATGAGAATGCCATGAACCTCTAACGCAATCACAGGGTTTAGCCAAAGTGAATAAAAACCCTAGCAAGATCTCTAACAAAAAAGTTGCCAAACAGATTATGCTGGATTTTCTTATTCATAAAAATTATGTTTTGTTGTCCAGCTATGTAATATCCTCAATTGTTAGGGGATCTTGTTATGAATACTAATGAGAAGAATGCAATTGACTTCAGAGAAGCACCCCATATAACCTCCCTGTTAAAGGTTAGCTTATTGGAAGCTTTTTAATTTGAAAAATAATTTAGGTTAAAGGAGGCAGCCCAATCAAAATTCCAGCAAAGAGAAGACTTCAGCATTAGGAGAAATGCCTAAACCAGTGGTACAGCTGGGTTAAAAAAATCCTATAGACATTTTTAAAACCGAGGCCTGATAAGTGTTCATTGGTTTTGCTCAGCAGTCTTAAGACGAGCCAAATGACAGTAATTCAAGCCGGTCTCTCATCTTGAGAGGCCTCAAAGTGTGTCAGTGCAATGCCAAACATCCAGTTTGGCCAACTTGTTCACTGAATTGTCTCCCCCTGAAAGCCCACTTTTAAACAATGATGAATTGAACAACAACAACGATGACAACAACAGCAGTAAAAACAACATTAATCACAACTTTTAGGAAGAATCTACAAGGCATTGTGTTTAATACTTTTTGTGGATTATTCATTTATCAACAACTGAAGTTGATACTATTATTACCTTTTTCGTAAAAGAGGGGAAAAAGGTTGAGTAACATGCCTTGGCTATGTGGTGTATTTGGGCCTCAAACTCAGGCAGTCTAGTCATTCGTGTTCTTTCATCCATTATGCTATATTTCTTTATGTACTGTATGTAAACAGATTTTTAAAAATCGAATCTTGTTTTCATTGTGGCAGAGATTGTTTTATTTAAAAGATTCTTAAGGTTATTCTTCTTATAAAATTCTCATTCATTCATTTAAAAAATATTTATTAAGAATCTGCCATGTGCCTAGCACTGCTGATGCTAAAGGAACAAAGGATTAGATACAGTCCTTGACTTTAGAAAATCCTCATTGTGTCAACTGGGTTAATTTAAACTAAGGTACAACTATATTTATATATGTGTCTTTTGGGCATAACCATGGTCTTCATGTTTTTAATATGCTACTTAACGTCAAATTTGAATTTTCATGCCAAATTTGAACTTGCAAGCCTGGGCTATTATTTTTCCAAAGTGGAAGTAACTTCTATTTTTGTGGCTAATTACAAAAACGGGCTGGGCATGGTGGCTCATGCCCATAATCCCAGCACTTTGGGAAGTCAAAACAGGAGGATTGCTTGAGGCCAGGAGTTTGAGACCAGCCTAGGCAACACAGTGAGACCCTGTCTCTACAAAAAATTAAAAATTAGCCAAGCCTTGTAGCACACACCTATAGTCTCAGCTACTTGGGGGGCTGAGGTGGGAGGATGGCCTGAGCCTGGGAGGTTGAGACTGCAGTGAGCTGTGATCATGCCGCTGTATTCCAGCCTGGGTGACAAAGTGAGACCCTTTCTCAAAATAAATAAATAAATTAATTAAATTAAAAAATAAAAAATAAAAATAATCAGGCGATACTTAGTAACACAAAGGAAAAAGTGAAATCCTCTATAATCCTTATCCAGTGACAACCATTACTAATACTTTTGTGCATTTCTAATTTTCTTCAAGAATTTTTCTTTGTCCTTTTTAACACTATCTTTAGTGTTTTATAACATGCTCAGTATACCTATTAACAATACTGGGTGAAATATCCTTCTATTCTTGGCCAATAAATACAAATTTACATAATCATTCCTAATTATGTATAGAATGTTATTTACCCACACTTTATTTTATTCATCCCCTTTGTTGGACATTTAAATTGTTTCTAGTGTTTTTATTCTTGTAAACAATTTTTTGATGGCACACTTGTACATCATTCTCTTCATTCTTATTCCTGTAAGATTAATTTCCAGTAACAGAATTGCCAAGCCAGAGGCCATGCTTCCCTTAAGAAAAGCCCTTGATAAAAATATATAGAATACTCTCTAGTTTGTAGAAAGTTTTACTCTTAGAAGTATTGCATGAAATTGCCGATTTTCTAACCCATCATGGTCAATATGATGAAAATGCACAATGTTTATATGGAGATTGATCACAATAAAATATTTTATATATATTATTTCATACATGCCTTACAACTGCCTGTGAAATAACTAAGGCCAGCTTATTATCTCCAATATATGGTTGAGGAAGCTGAAATTTATCAAGGTGAGATTCCTCTGGATCTAGCTGCCCATTACGATGATGTCTCCAGCCAATTTTGTTTCTGATGCTAAACATCAAGAGAAGAGTAAATTTTGCTTTACCTAAGTAATAGTCCTTCATTAAAGACCTTTCATTGTATATTTTTTTTCTTCCAGACAGGCCTGATAGAAGTCAGTCTGACTCTTCCTTGACCACTTTAAGCCCCAGTAGCCGGCCCAGATCCTCCCACGATTCTTGCTGCCTCCCGAACTGCAGTGTGAGCAAATGAGATAAGTACAAAATATTCCTACACCACTGGCTCCATGCTCTCCTCATATTCAATCATGAAGACTAATGAACCAGAGATGATTACGGTGGTAAAAATCCAAATGCAGATTTTTGCTGTCCTTACTAATGAGAGAAAAATATAGTAGACCATTGGCCTAAAGGCTCCAGATGCGATTCCTTTGTAACTTAGAGTGCATTAAAAAAGCTTCAGTCAGCAAGATAAGTTAATTTTTTTATGACCTTTATAAACTCTTTTAGCCTGTATCTCGGGAGCTTCTTAAAGATTAAATTTTAAAAAATCCTTTTAGCTCAGGCCAACACAGCATCTGAGTCTTTTTTGCTTCCAAGGCTACATCCAAAATCTATAAAAAAATTCTGTTCATGACAATTATTGTCAAAGTAATGATTAGCTAACATGTCATTTTTAGTTTTTACTGTTCTTGCCTCTATGAGACTAATCCAATAAAGCTCACATCTTCTTAATGTAAAAGTTGCATGAAGGATGCATTATTCCCGTTGACTTTGCCTACATTTGCAAATTCTTGAAAAAGCAAATTGAATTGTCACTAGTGGCACCTCTTTCACAGGATGATTGTTGGGTCAAAGTGAGAGTGTAGGGGACAAATATCAAGATTTTTGTTAAAAGAAAAAAATCCCTACCTAAGAACTGTAAAGCTGTATTAATATATAATTGAGGCCATGGACTTTAGTAGACCATAAGGCACAGCTACCCAAGGTGATGGGTATAATTTTGCAGGGGGAGGAATGTCGGAGGAATGTGAAGGGCTCTTCATTGATGGCATCACAAATTTAATTTATTATGTGAAACATGTAGTTTCTTCTCACCTCTTTGGTTGTAGGATAACTGCTCCTTTTAAACACTGTGCTTTTGACTGGCTTGATTGGTAACTACAAAAGTCATCATCCTAGGCATCTGTCACTACTTCTATTACATCCAACCTACTGACCCAGAAAATCTGTGGTTGACACAATTGATTTCTCTAAAAGATTCATTCAGCATTTATTTTATTTTTGACATCCACCTACAAGGTCCCACAGAAATTTAGTACCTACATCTCTGTGTAAGAGAAACACAGCCCTTTATAAAAAGTGCATATCCTGAAGTGAGGAGCTGGAACAAAGCAGGAGTCTTGCTTAGAATGATTCACTGAAGTAACTGGATTTATTAAGATGTATGTGAGCTTTGGTGACTATGCCACTGAAGACATTTGTGCTCACCTCGTGAGAGGCTGCCACTGGAAATAACAACAACTAATAATAATAATAAAAGGAAAGAAAAGACTCAAGTTATAAGACTTATCCTTGTATTATCAAACTACTCTGAATCTTAACCTTCTCTATGTCTCTTTCCCTTCTTTCCTCTCGGGATGCCTTCCTTTAGATCCCAGAAAGCATCTTGATTTCAAACTAAGATATACAAGCCACATGGCTTAAATAGATGCTTGACAGTTATCTATTACTTCCCATGTATATTGCCATGCTACCTCATTATATAGAAAGGTTACGTGATTCTTTTTTCAAGGCATATAGATAATTAACTGCCAGATTCAGAATTCACCCTTAATTGTTTATCTTGTAAATATATTGGCATCTTCTCATGTGCTCTAAAATCTAATGACCTGGCTTGGTCATGCATCATCCTATGAATTTGCTGAGAAATGAGCAATGGGAGGGAATATAGAGGTCTGTATAAAATGGCAGTAGTGGTCTTTGCTTACTGAATTCATACATCTAAGTAGATTAAATTATTTCTCTTTTTATCTTGTTAGCTAAGAATTTTCAGCTTGGGCTGAGCCTCAGGTCCAATCAGGTATACTTAATATTTAAGATTTTTAAAATTGTTTTTCTAGTAATCCATATCTATAGTATTTTTATTTTTAGTAACTTAATGGTAATATTCAGGGGCCACATTTTCTGGGGAAATCCTTTTTTTCTAATTTGACACAGGACAATATAAAATGTTTTATTGACTGTATACATAACTGTTCAGAAAGCTCTTATAGCGACTATCTTTTGTCAATTTCTTCTGATTCTACTAAACGTTGTTTTCATTCCATAACAAGAAATGAATGAATGCAATGATTTTGGAGAGGAGGCAGTATCATTGGCTCTTTCAAAGATAAAACACTTCCAAGGTTCCTAGAACTGACTTTTACTATAGTGCCACCATGAAAGATCTGAAGATCATTATTTACTAGAAATAAAGGAACAAGGCAGAAATCGATGACTACACTAGATTTATGTTTCCCTTGCTTTCTATATACATCTCTATTTGTCCTAACTTCATGGGGAGGATATTTAATACATAATGGAAGGAGCCTGTTGCTTTTGATTTATTTTTTGTTTATTATTTTTGGCATTCCATAGAGAAATTCTGGAAATCAATACTGTCTCTCTGTGTGTGTATGTCTGAGTACCTTGGGCACAATATAGGTTTAAAGGTTCTAAAGGGACAAAGAAACCCCCTTCACTGGCTGAGCTCTCTTTTATTATATCAAATTATAACATTTACTCATGAAAGAGAGTTGCCTTTCTTTCTGTGTATGTTTTACATGACATTGTGAGCACAGACACAAAGGCTAATTTAATCACAATCACAAGAGCGAGATGATGCTTTGTGTATTTAAATTTATAGATTATTGCCCCCTCCTAGAGCCCAAGTGATTCTCACCAATTCTAGCTAACTCTCTCTTAGCAATTTTATTAGAGAATTAAGATACATCTCAGGTGTACGTGGTAGATGAAGGCGCAATTCATAGAGGTGTTATGAAATTTTAAATTTACTTTGAGTGAATAATGGGATAGTTGGTAATGCAGATGAGGTAAAATGAACCCTGTCTTTAAATAGTTTCTAATCACATATTTGGACTTAAAAACTACAGGTAATCAACACTAATTTATCAAGACCATGTGAACAGGAAATTATATTTAAAGGAAGTGATATGTGTTGCTATTGCATGAATTTATGACAGCTGGATAGAAACTCAGAAGGACAGAATACATGAAAAAAGAATGAAAGTAGCAAGGCTGTCCAATGTTACAAAACAGTGGAACAGCCCCATAGTAATTTCCAGCACCCCCAAACTGGCTCTTAGTAGTGTTGTCTTTTTTTTTGTTTTTTCCTCGTACAGAGACCAGAGAAAATTTCAGATTGGTTCTTCCTCTGGGGTTCTGGTTTCTTGTCTGAGAGACTTGCCTCACTTATGGCTGGTTGTAAGGACTAAGGTTATTGACTCTTTCTCCAGAGTATGACAATTCCATAACAATACACTAAATGATAAACTGATTATAAACAACAGGAGAATACTTCTCATATCTAGTGTCAGTGTGCTGGATATAGAGGTCCAAAGGAAATTAGGAATATGTATTTGGAGTTCAGGAAAAATGACTACATATACAGGACTTGTCAGCATGAGGATAATTGAAGTGATTGGAGTGGTTAAGCTTTCCCTGGGAGAGTATTAGTTATAAAATGCAGGCAGAGGACAAAATCTTCAGAAATAGCAGCCCCCCAAAAGTTATGAGGATTCCTAGAAGGCTGAGAAAGCAGAGTTAGAATGAGCAGTAGTGTTATAGAAATAGTGTGCAGGTAATGCCACAGAAAGGCCATGCAGAATCAGAATTTACAAATGTTCACCGGCTTGACCTCAGGAGGTAATTGGTAACCTTTGCATGAACAGTTTCTGTGGCCACGTAATACTAGGTAATAACCATAAGTTTACTTTGGTTACACTTAAACAATGACAAGTGTTTGCACTTGTAATTTTCTTGATCAAAGTGACGCCTATTTGAATATCAGCCAACATTTCTAGCTAAGACGTTTCTTAGCTAACTTTACATTTGTCATCATACCCCCAAAGTGAATGCACTTTTTGGAAAGGAGCAGTGTAGTCATGTTCCCTTTATTGAGTTTAAGCAAAGAATTGTTTTATGTATATATACATATATATATGTATACACACACACACACACACACACACACATATACACACACACTTTATTTTGGCAATTATGTTGAAAACCTTCACTGAATTTTGGGAATATTTGTTTGTTCACTAAAGTTAAAAGGATTTGAGGAGCAAACATTTGTATCATGAATGTGGTACTCCACAGATGATCAGTTTAGCCATGACCCT
This sequence comes from Homo sapiens, assembly GCF_000001405.40. Classification (NCBI taxonomy): domain Eukaryota; kingdom Metazoa; phylum Chordata; class Mammalia; order Primates; family Hominidae; genus Homo; species Homo sapiens. The sequence goes on from NC_000004.12 coordinate 83,930,214, forward strand.
CCTACCGGTCCAGTTTGCACACACCACTCTCCAGCTGGTTGTTCCTCACTTCTGAGGCTTCCACTAATTCAGGCCTGGCTGTTTTTTTTTTTTTTTTTTTTTTAATCATCCACCAGTGCCTGAAGTTTGTTTAAATTGTACGCCTAGAGATGCTCTTTATATGTATGTTTTCATTATGAATGTTATTAAAAATTAATGGCTAGCAAATACTACTTACTATGTATTATATACTACAAAAAGCATGTTAAAAGTGTTTTATTTGATTCTCTCTCACACACAGAAACCTGTAGGAAGTGTTATTATCCCCATTTTATGGATTGCAAAACTGAGACTCTAGTTCACAGAAACACTTGGTGGCAGAACAGGGGCTTGAATTCAGGTATCTCTGGTGTTGAGATTCTTGATCTTAACTACTACTTATACTACTTCCTAGTTATTTGTATGATCAATTGTTAAAGTATGATTTCCTACACTTTTAAATTTTGGTGCGTGACTTGTGACTATTTCGTCTTCAAATTTGGTATAATCACAAATTTAGGTACAATAAGTAATTACAAAGCTGTGCATATATCTCTATTAATTTTAATAAATGAGAAGCTTAAGAAGATCTTAGATACTCTATTACTTTTTGAAATGTCATGCTAAGAGTAGTAGAACACTATATGACATATTAAGACATTCTGGACATCAGATTTCAAATTCAAAACAACCACATTTTTAAAGAAACAAAATAAATGATTACTAGTGTTGCCCCCTGAAAATAGAAAATAACATTTTTCATTCTGCTGTTATATATAGTACCAACGTATAAGATTTTATTCAATATAAAGCTACTATTTTTAAAACATACTTTAATACACATTGAAATATATTGGGTATACACCATATCCCATTCTAAGCACTAAAATAGCTCAGTTGTGAATACATTGCATGATCCTACCATTTTATAAACTCTGATTTAGATTTTCTATGAGAGAAGCTAGAAGGTTTCAGAGAAGAATGATACTTGAGCAAATCTATATAGTGAAAATAGGGAATTTCTGAATTTACTGACTTTTAAAAAAAGTGCCCCTCATGTGTATTTGAGAAATAAGAATATATTTGATGGAAAAGTAGGACTTCATAGGCCAAATGCCCAAGGTCACAACTGAAGCCTCAGAAGGTAAAGAAAAGCTGTTAAAGAAAAGTATTTACTAGGTTCATGCTAAATACACACATCACACAGTGCAGGTCTTCTACCACCCTCTGTGTGGCATGGAGTTCCACTTATTGGAAGCACATCAGTTCTTTTTGGAACCATGCAACCATAGTTTTAAAATATGCATCCAAAGAGCCTTATACATCTTAGGCACATACAACAAAAAAAAGTTGTCCTGACTTTATACAGAATACATAGACAATGTCTTCTGAATAAAAATCAGGCTCTTCTAGGACATAAAACTTCTACACTGTATTCTCTTCACATTTTCTTTCACGAAACCCCCACACCCCCAACTATTATTGTAGGTATTTCTCAATCTACAGTATAATTGTTCTCTTTAAAATCTCCTTTTAGGTCAGAGCCAGATCAGCAGTAGGACTCTGATAGAAACAAAGTGACTGGGTTCTGAAACCCCACAAACCTCTGAAACTCACCCAAAGCAGCCAATTACCAAAGCTTTTGCTCCCTTGCAGAGAACACTGGCAGTAATCAGAGGGGCAAATGTGCATCAGCTGAACGAACAACCTCTCTTTAGGGAGGCTGGAATTCCCTGCTGCTTGTCAAGCTACAGTCGATGTGAACAAACCTGTCAGTTTGTCTGCCTTTTCTCATTCTGTACCACATGTGTGGTGTTTTCAGGTTGCACAGTCTCTGAAAATACCAGAATTGGGTTCCAACATTTATCAATAACAATTTATAGCAGATAGCTTTCTGGAAAACAGTAGGAATCTAATGAAGCCTAACAATACAGCCCCCACAAAGGTTTCCAGGCCTGGGATCAATGTCATCAGCGAAATTTATGGGAAGGCCGTGCAACTCTCTGAGATGCAGGGGCATTCTCTGCAACCTGTCTTGGATTCCATCAATTATGGTCTAATAAGGTCTTTCCTGACACAGGAGACATCTCTCTTAGTAAGGCTTTCATTCTGCCGCTGCCTCTGAGATGTACATGTATATGTAAAAACAGTTGTTTTTCTATTGCAACTGTGGCCCTCTGAGAGAGAGGTCTCCATGGGTTTTGTCTGCCTTTCTGGGTTCTGGCAAATCCCTGTGGTTTCTCTCACTGGGTCTGTTTGCTCCAGGGAATCTGAACAGCCAGACACCAGCTCCCAAAATCTCTCTGAGGTGAAACAAACACTTGTCCCTAAAAATTTCACATTCCCTGCATATTTTAAAACTGTGAAATTGACATATCTAGCTGAATATGAATATTACGGCAGCAAAGCTTGTTTGTGGAAATAATGTGAAGTCCGTAGCAGAGGAGTGGACTGTGGTGTATTGGATACGGTTTTGCTCTAAACTTTTAGCTTCCTCAACACGTACAGTACAGAAATGTGAGCCTTGGAGCCTTTGATTCTCCCTCAGGGCAATTCTAGATCATCCTGGTGGTGTCCTCAGGGTTGACTTCAATGTATATTTAACTTACTCCAGGCTGTCTCTTTGAGAGGCCAGTGTGTGGCTCACTCTAGAGGATTCCAGGTTCTCTGAAAGAACTCTCAGTCATTCAGGAAAAACAGATTTCACTTCAGTGATGTACCCATACAATATACACTCATACATATCCACATTTATACACACATTCATTATATGCACACATAATATCCATGCGCATGTATATGTATGTATTTCCATAAGTTTTAGGAAAGCTGCTTTAGGAATATTATATTTTAGTAATGACACATGATTACTTGTCATACTTTTTCTCTGGATGAATAATGCTTTATTTTCTTAATGTGATCATAGCAGCCTTAGGTCAATAATGGGCTGCAGACAGAAGCCAGGCTTGCTTCTAAGACTTAAGTCACATCCTTGATTCAGAATAGGTCTCAGGCTACGTATAGCAGCCTTCTGAGGTAAAGTCTGGTGAGGGAGAAAATCTAGACAGGAAGAAATGGGAAACTCTCAGTTTATCAAGGTACCACCTGTCCTTTACTGTTCTTAAATATCCTTATTGCTAGTTACTCTACCATGGGTAGAGTACCCTTTTCACCATGAATAATTTGGGGGACAAATCCAAGACCATAAAGTCTTTATTAAATAACATAAGAGTAAAGATAAAGATGAAGCCAATCTAAGTACCTGTATTCATTTCCTAGGGCTGCCTTAAGAAATTACCAGACTGAGTGGCTAAAAAAAAAAAAAAAAACAGGAATGTATTCTCTCATAGTTCTAGAGGCTCGAAGTCTGAAATCAAGATGTCAGCAGAGCCATGCTCTTGCTGAAGGCTCTAGGGGAGGGTATGTTCCATGCTTTTCTCGCAGCTCTGGGTGGTGCCAATGATACTGGCTCTCCTTGGCGTGTAGATGCATCATTACAATTTCAGCCTCTTCTTTTCCATGGCATTCTCTGTGCCTATCTTCTCCTTTTCTTATAAAGATCCATGTTGTATTAGATTAAGGGCTCACTCTACTCTAGCATTACCTCATCTTAACTAATTGCATCTTAAATTACCTTATTTCCAAATAAGTTTACAAACCTGAGGTTCTGTGAAGGGCATGAACTTTGGGGGGACTCTATCCAACCCAGTACAATACATAAGGGGTTCCTTCACTGAAACACTCATTAATGCATGAAATCACTATATTAACTTGTTGCTATCTAGAAGAAAATTGGCAACAGCTGGATGTGGTGGCACATGCCTATAATACCAGCAATTTGGGAGGCCAAAGCGGGTGGATCACTTGATGTCAGGAGTTCAAGACCAGCCTGGCCAACATGGTGAAACCCTGTCTGTACTAAAAGTACAAAAATTAGCCAGGTGTGGTGGCACGTGCCTGTAGTCTCAGCTACTTGGGAGGCTGAGGTGGGAGAATCACTTGAACCTGGAAGGCAGAGATTGCAGTGAGCCAAGATTGCACCACTGCACCCCAGCCTGGGCGACGGAGACTCTGTCTCAAAAACAAACAAACAAACAAACAAACAAACAAACAAAAAAAACCCCAAAGAAAATTGGCAAGGTAAGTATTAGGGAGTGAGGATGCAAAAATAGAAAATGTCCAGAACAGTGATGTCCAATGTGGTATTTAATGGCTATTTAAATTTGAATAAGTTAAAACAATAAATTTAAAAATTCAGTTTCTGTCTCACTAGCTACATTTCAAAAGCTTGATAGCCACAGGTGGCCAGTGACTACTCTATTGAACAGTGCAGAAATAGGACATTTCCATCAGTGCAGGAAGTGTGGTCTAGAACACATCATGAAGAGGAGTTACAGCAGAAGTTGTCAGGAAAAGGGAAGGTGGAAAGTCCTGGGAGTGCAGTAATGTTGCTGTGAGAGAAGAGACCCTGAAAGAGCGGATGAAGGTGAAGGTAAAGTACTTATACTAATATAGTGTTGTCTGGGGCAACCCAAGTGCTGGGCATGGTGCTTTTCTCTTTTCTTTTTTGGAAATGGAGTCTCACCCTGTCACCCAGGCTGGAGTACAATGGCACGATCTCGGCTCACTGCAACCTCCGCCTCTTGGGTTCAAGCAATTCTCCTGCCTCAGCCTCCTGAGTAGGTGGGACTATAGGCGCACGCCACCACCCCCGGGTTAATTTTTGTATTTTTAGTAGAGATGGGGTTTCACCATGTTGGTCAGGCTGGTCTCGAACTCCTGACCTTGTGATCCACCTGTCTCGGCCTCCCAAAGTGCTGGGATTACAGGCATAAGCCACCGTGCCCAGCCGCTCTTCTCTTGACTCTGGTATTTTGCCTTGCATTCAGCAGGTGCTTACTAAATATTTGTTGAACCATTGAAGAAAAAGATGAATACTTCAAACATGATGGAATGTTGTGGAGACTGGCAATGCTGCTGACAAAAGCATATGACTGCCCTGAAGATTTCTGGAAAAAAGCACTTTAAGTATTAGCAAATTTTCATACATTGATCTTTAGTTATAGCATAAGAACACGTACTTCACATGCCTTACGCCTTAGTTAGCACCATCAGTGTTCTGCCTCAAGTCCTTGGGTTCCCCGGGAACACAAACAGCCACCTTCTTTCTCTGTCAAGGTGTAGCTGACATTATATTACCTGTGTCCTTTGTCCTTCTGCTGATTCAACAATTTCCCTGTCGACTGCCATTACTGCACCCGAATACAAAGCTGCCAGCACTACTGTGCATGCCCAGAACATGGTGGTGAATCCCTTCCTGACAATCTTTCCTTTCCCCACAAGACAGTAAGAGCAAATCACAATTGTTTTTGAAAGAGATGGGTAACTCACCTGGTCCCTGGGGCTTTGACAACTTCCTGTTGCAAGGAGGTTGTCTTTGGGAGGGCTGACACAGCTCATTTTCCAAGCTTGGATTTACTGTGGTCTCTCGTCACAGCTCTGTGATGAGGAAGGAAGGAGGGGAATTTTCATCAATGTAATGAGTACGTGTATTAGCTCCCTGTAGTGACTCCAACACACACACACACACATACACACACACACACACACACACACACACACATTGATATATCCCTATCTACTTTCATTGATATACAGAGCAGTTTTTCTGTGAGTCTCAAAGAAAATTTGGAAGACCTCCCCATAACTGCCCTTACTATTTCTCTAAGCTCACTCTTGATAGTGTTTTGGATACAAAGAGGAAGGAACACTTCTGCTTTACCCTGTGGCATAGGTAGAGCCAATGGACATATTCTAAATACATCAATCACCAGGATATTGCCTTCTGAAAGTGTGTTGGGCTGCACATGTGTTATTATTTGGATGCAAGGAACAGCTATTAAATGATATGATAGAAACATTATGAATGATAAATAGCATTAAATATTTATCAGATAACCTGCCTGAATTACAAAAGGGAACAAAACATTCTTAATTTTCTCTTTTGAATTATAAAATAAATTCTACAAATTAAATTCTGAACATTCAAAACTACCTTGGCTAAAAGAAGATTAATGGTTACCTAGAGTCAGAGGTGGAGTGGGGCTTGGGATTAACTGCAAAGGATAATGAGGAAATGTTTTAGGGTAAGGGAAATATTCTGTATCTTGATTGTGGTGGTAGTTATATGATGATATATAAATACCAAAACTCATCAAACTCTACACTTAAAATGATGATTTTCTTATATGCAAATACTACCTTAAAAGTTAACACAAAAACTCAAAACATTCAAATTGAAACTCATAATTTGCAATATTTACAATAGCTTAAAGAATAAAGAGTTTAGAAAATTGAACGTTTAAAAATATGTTACGATAAGGAATGTTTTAAAAAATTTATAATTAGATGAGCATTTTCCTTATGAAATATTGTTTAGGTAAAATCAATACCATACTTGGATGGTAGAATTATTAGTACTCACAGAGGGCTATCCCTCTCAGCCACCTTGGAGTTATCTGGGACCTTGTCACTGATTAGGCCCAATGGGTTGTTAGTGGACTTCACATGTGTATAGGTAACAGCCCCTGCATGAGTCTCCAGCTCTCTCGTTTTCTGCCTCAGCAATGTTGAGATGGCAGTGTCACAAGACGATGGAACCCTTCTCAGCCTGGGATACTATGTGACAAATTGAGATAGGGCTCCTTTACCAAACTGCACTGGATAAGCAAAAATTAAACCTTTATGATGTTAAGCCATTGAGACTTGGGGGTTTATTTGTTACTGCAATATAACATAGCCTGTGCTGACCAATACAATATGCTGCCGTGATTTCGAAACACTCAGATTTTAATGCAATTTAAAGGTGCATTTAAAGGTTGCCTCACTGAAGAGTGTAAATTTTTAAAAACATACCACTTGTGGGCACTGTTGATGAAGAGACATTCAAGTGATTACTTTCTTGTCAATTCATACTGGGTATTCTGGGATGTTGTGAGATTACCTATTGATACCTTTATCAGAGGCAGAATTCACTAGAAGGTCTTTGACCTACAGACTAAAATATATAATTAAAATATATAATGCTTCCCTAATAACACAGGGCATATAAGACAGAGTAGAAGATGTAGTGACCAACCTAGGATTTGAGTTGCCACCTGGTCATGGTCATTTGTCCTCTTCTTGCAGTCCACATATTCCATGAATCTTACTACTGCCACTAGTTTGCTACCTTTTACCATTTTACATTATATCTTTAACAGATAGGGTTCAGTTTCTTAATAAATGAACTCTTGGCCCTGTTGATACCATTGTCTCATCTTTTACTCCAGCAGCTTTAGTTGTTCCAGCTGGTGAAATCTCTTTAGCGCTGTTTGAAACCCACATTTCTACTAGTAAATATTTCAATGTTTTAAAAATAATTTGTTTTGGAAGAAGCACTGGTTTTTTTGGGGGGGATATGTAGTAAAGAACAAGTTCAGTAAAATCACCAGCGGTAGCTCATGGTAAATCCAGTGAAAGAATGTATTGACCAGAGGCGCATGAAGCAATTTGTAGTGAGTTTTCCTGGAAAAGAAGAATGGAAAAGGATAAAGCCAAAAGCAGTCAAGTAGAGGAAAGTACTTTTTTAATAAGTGAAAAGACAGTTTTGTAGGTTCATGTTGTTGATTTAAAAAAAAACAAAAACCAAACCATTATGTGACTGTAATCATTCTGTTTTTGTCTCACAGAGAAGCAGGAAAGCAGATGGAGGGGGACCAGTTTTTTCCACAGAATCCCTTTTCATTTGGGGTAAGATGCTGAAGACTAATGACTAAGAAAGTCCAAGAAAACTAAGACTTCATCTTCCTGGAAAAATTGAAGCCATTGATTGGAACAAGAGAAACACCAAGACAGGAAGGGACGTAGAAATTTTCCCTCTATCCCTCTTCCATTACAGAGACATGGAAAATCCCAGTATATGTTTGTTTATTTCTCTATTTCTTCTTCTCATACAGAATTTAAAAATAATAAATTGGGATGCATTGGTGAGCTAGGCCTCTGGGGCTCTTGCTTTAAATCATTCTTTTGGTGCTGTTCCCTATTCAGGTGTTCACATTCATGCTAACTCTCCCTCAAACACATTTACAACAACCACTGAGTTAAAATTTTTCCCTTGGTCCTTAAATATTATGTTACTAATATTGCATACTACCCAATAATCTATTTAGCTAATTATAAATATTTATAGATCAGTCAAAAGTAGATCTTGAGTATAGGAGCTCGGGAAAGAGCGTGACTTGTGCAGTGGCTTTGAAAACACGGAGGGTGACTATTTTATGTTCTTCCTCTAAGTCAAAAGTGCCCTTAGAGTTTGTTTTTGTTAATGAATCTACAGTTTGTACTATGACAACAAAAAATGAGAAAGTAACTCGGGCCTCAGTAGTTGAAAGCCCATAAAAATCTTCTCTAGTATCACACAGGTGTGTGGGAGCTGGGGTGAGGGTGTCAGGCATTTGGATGGAGGCGGGAGAAGCCATGCTGAAGGAAGCTTAATAAGAATATTAACTGCAACACAAAACCCCAGAAAACTAATTTCAGTATTTTAATTTAATTTGAAGGGGAAGTCTGAAAATGTTCAGGATGAAAAAAACTGATTTGGGGTAAATATACTTTTTTTGTATTTTTTATTGAAATATCATAGTCATATATTTTTTGGGGGTACGTGTGCTATTTTGATACATGTATACAATGTGTAATTGTTGAATCAGTGTAATTGGGATACTCATCACCTCAAACATTTACATTTTCTTTGTGTTTGGAACATTACAATTCTTCCCTTCTAGCTATTTTGAAAGATACAATAAATTGTCATTAACTACAATTCCCTAATTGTACTGTTGAATACTAGAACTTATTCCTTCTAACTGTATTTTTGTACCCATGAATCAACTTCTGTTCATCCTCCTCCTTCCTCCTTCCCTTCCCAGCCTCTGGTGACCACCATTCTATCTCATACCTTCATGAGGTCTAATTTTTTAGCCCCTACAATTGAGTGAAAACATTTTTCTTTCTATGCCTGGCTTTATTCACTTAATATAATAACCTTCAGTTTCATCCAGGTGCTGCAAATGACAGGATTTTATTTTTTGTGGCTGAATAATATTCCATTGTGTATATATACCACATTTTCTTTTTTGTTTTTATAATTTCAACTTTATTTTAGATTCATGGGGTACATGTGCTGGTTTGTTTGACGGGTATATTGTGTGATGCTGAGATTTGGAGTACAATTGATCCCACCACCCAGGTACTGAGCATAGTACTCAATAGTTTTTCAACCAACCTTTCAATGTCTCCTTCCCTCTCTCCCCCATCTAGTAGTCTCCAGTATCTATTGTTGCCATCTTTATGTCCATGAGTACCTAATGTCTGGTTCCCTCTTATAAGTGAAAAGAAGTGATATTTGGTTTTCCTTTCCTGCATTAATTTGTGTAGGATTATGGCCTCCAGCTGCATGGATGTTGCTGCAAAGAACTTGATTTTGTTCTTTTTTATGGCTGCACAGTAGTCTATGTTGTATATGCACCACATTTTCTTTATCAATTTTACCTTCAATGGGCACCTAGGTTGATTCCATGTCTTTGCTATTGTGAATAGTGCTGCAATGAACATACGAGTGCTTGCATCATTTTAGTAGAATACTTTATTTTCTTTTGGGTATATATCCAGTAATGGGATTGCCGGGTTGAATGGTAGTTCTGTTTAAGTTCTTTGAAAACTCTCCAAACTGCTTTCCAAAGTGGCTGAACTAATTTACATTCCCACAGTGTATAAACATTCTCTTTTTTCCACAACCTCATCAGCATTTGTTGTTTTTTCTTTTTTTTTGTTAATAGCCATTCTAACCGGGGTGACAGGATATCTCACTGGTTTGGGTTTACATTTCTCTGATTATTAGTGATGTTGAGCATTTAAAAATATACCTGTTGGTCATTTGTATGTCTTCTTTTGAGATATGTCTATTCAGGTCTTTTGCTCATTTTAAAATCTGATTATTTGCTTTTTTGCTATTGAGTTGTTGAGTTCCTGATATATTCTGGCTATTAATCCCTTATTGAATGGATAGTTTGCAAACATTTTCTCCCATTCTATGGGTTATGTCTTTACTTTGTTAATTGCATTCTTTGCTGTGCAGAAGTTTTTAAATTGACGTGATTCCATTTTTCTATTTTTGTGTTTATTGCCTGTGGTTTAAAGTTCAGGGGTAAATATACATAATATATATATTACCCTGAAAAGGTAATATACCCAAAAGAAAGTAAATTATTCTACCAAAAAGATACAAGCACCCGTATGTTCATCGCAGTGCTATTCACAATAGCAAAGACATGGAATCAACCTAGGTGCCCATTGAAGGGGAAATGGATAAAGAAAATGTGGTGCATATACACCATGGAATTAATTAAGCTTAGGTGATTAATTATATGTATTTTGAAAAAAGCAATTGATGTCTTTTAAAGTATATGATCTTTATCATTTTGGTTAAGTACCTTAACAAGTGTAATAAAAGGGTTTCTGGGTTTAGTTATAACCTCAGTTTCCAGTCTGAGTTTTCTAAGAAGCTCTCAATTTGGTCAACGGAATTCTTACAACAAGGGCTTCTTCTAACCCTTGTCTTGGTGGAGAGGGAGATACTCATTATTCCTATATCTATCAAGTGGAAATACTGTGCATGTTTTTTTTAATCCTTTTAAATACTGTGATTATCAAATTTTTTAATGCTTTTTCTTCCACTGCAATTTCAGAAAGTTGCAAATTATTTTGTTTTTTAATTTTAAGATGGGGTCACCACATTGGCCAGGGTGGTCTCGAACTCCTGACCTCAAGTGATCTGCTCGCCTCAGCCTCCCAAAGAGCCAGGATTATAGGCATGAGCCACCACGCCCAGCCGGAAGTTGCAAGTACTATCAAATCTCTCCCTGTATGTTTGCTACCATTATCCAGTATTATAAAGTGTTCATCGTGCTTGTTTCCGGTCTGTACTTCTATGTTTGATTTCTCTGATGCAATTGGAGAGCATCTGGTTCTGAAAGTGTCTTGGTGTGCCTCAAAGTCTGCCTATCTGTGTTAACCATGAGATCAAGCTGCTCAGACTGTGGTCCTAGATAGATGTGGTTGGCACCATTACAAGAGCCTGGTGAGAGCCTCATTCCTTTTCAGAATCTGCATTCTAGTTTCCTAACTACTTATTTCATCTCTATGCCCAGTGAAAGGCCTTTGTGGAATTGGCTTTGAAAGATCTTGGCCATTCATCACCACAATGTACAGTGTTGACCATGTGGGGTAAGCTGAGTATCATGCTAGGCACTTTGCATCCGTTATCAAAGTTCTTTTGATTTGTTTGTTCCACTTGCAGCAGCTTGTTGATAAGGCTGACTATAGCCTTAGGATAAGCAGATTTCCCTAGTACTCCAAGCAAACATCTAAGCGTTGCCTTTAGAATGGCTTCATAGCTGGTTCATAGCTACAACTGGTTTCATAGCCTTCATGCCTGCCTCATCTTTCCCCCATTCTCTTTCAAAGAGCTCATACATTTTATTGGACTTTTCAATGAATTTGGGGTCCCATTGAAGGGAAACTAACAGTTCCTAGGCTCCTTGGAGACATGCCTTGAAACTATGAAAAGATTTAACTCAGTGGTTCTCAAACTTTAATGTGCATGGTAACCATTTGCAGAGTTGTTAAAAATATGGATTTATTGGCCGGGTGCGGTGGCTCACGGCTGTAATCCCAGCACTTTGGGAGGCCAAGGAGGGCGGATCACGAGGTCAGGAGATCGAGACCATCCTGGCTAACACGGTGAAACCCCGTCTCTACTAAAGATACAAAAAAATTAGCCGGGCGTGGTGGCGGGCGCCTGTAGTCCCAGCTGCTCTGGAGGCTGAGGCAGGAGAATGGCATGAATCCGGGAGGCGGAGCTTGCGGTGAGCCGAGATTGCGCCACTGCACTCCAGCCTGGGCGACAGAGCGAGACTCCGTTTCAAAACAAACAAACAAACAAACAAACCAGATTATTGGGTTCCACCTTGGTGGTGGTAATTAAATAGATCTGGGATCAGGCCCAGGAGTTTATTTTTAACTATCATCCTGGGTGATTCTGGAGGTGATATGGGACCATGTTCTTGGGGATCTGACTTGACATTGGTTCTGGCTTTCACCTCTACCTACCACCTTGGTTCTCTAATGATTACTTCTTTTGATGTTCCCCCATTCAGTTCTTTTAGACATAGGAAGCTTATACAAGCTAGTACAGGCACACAAAAACTACTCTAGGCATAATTTTCACCAAGTAAGAGAAAGCTCCTTCCTCCCTGCCCCGAATATTTTCTAACTCATGCTCAAAAAGAATCTAGAGATAAAATAAATTGCTTTGTGATATGCAAGGTGTTATTCAAGTAAAAAAAAATTTTAAATGTTAAATGTTTACTCTTATAACATTGTTTAATTATATGTTATATATTTCATATACACAAAACTACAGAGAATAATATAATAGATACATGTGGACTCATTATTCCATCTTAACACATTAACATTTTGTCACATTTTAAAAATTCTTTTTTTTTTTTTTTTTATTGATCATTCTTGGGTGTTTCTCACAGAGGGGGATTTGGCAGGGTCATAGGACAATAGTGGAGGGAAGGTCAGCAGATAAACAAGTGAACAAAGGTCTCTGGATTTCCTAGGCAGAGGACCCTGCGGCCTTCCGCAGTGTTTGTGTCCCTGGGTACTTGAGATTAGGGAGTGGTGATGACTCTTAACGAGCATGCTGCCTTCAAGCATCTGTTTAACAAAGCACATCTTGCACTGCCCTTAATCCATTTAACCCTGAGTGGACACAGCACATGTTTCAGAGAGCACAGCGTTGGGGGCTAAGGTCACAGATCAACAGGATCCCAAGGCAGAAGAATTTTTCTTAGTACAGAACAAAATGAAAAGTCTCCCATGTCTACTCCTTTCCACACAGACACTGCAACCATCTGATTTCTCAATCTTTTCCCCACCTTTCCCTGCTTTCTATTCCACAAAACCACCATTGTCATCATGGCCCGTTCTCAATGAGCTGTTGGGCACACCTCCCAGACGGGGTGGTGGCCGGGCAGAGGGGCTCTTCACTTCCCAGTAGGGGCGGCCGGGCAGAGGCGCCCCTCACCTCCCGGACGGGGCAGCTGGCCGGGTGGGGGGCTGACCCCCCCACCTCCCTCCCGGACGGGGCGGCTGGCCGGGTGGGGGGCTGACCCCTCCACCTCCCTCCCGGACGGGATGGCTGGCCGGGCAGAGGGGCTCCTCATTTCCCAGTAGGGGCGGCCGGGCAGAGGCGCCCCTCACCTCCCGGACGAGGCGGCTGGCCGGGCGGGGGGCTGACCCCCCCACCTCCCTCCCGGACGGGGCGGCTGGCCGGGCAGAGGGGCTCCTCACTTCCCAGTAGGGGCAGCCGGGCAGAGGCGCCCCTCACCTCCCGGACGAGGCGGCTGGCTGGGCGGGGGGCTGACCCCCACCTCCCTCCCGGACGGGGCGGCTTTCTGGCGGAGACGCTCCTCACTTCCCAGACGGGGTGGCTGCCGGGCGGAGGGGCTCCTCGCTTCTCAGACGGTGCGGCTGCCAGGCGGAGGGGCTCCTCACTTCTCAGATGGGGCGGTTGCCAGGCGGAGGGTCTCCTCCCTTCTCAGACGGGGCAGCTGGGCAGAGACGTTCCTCACCTCCCAGACAGGGTCGCAGCCGGGCAGAGGCGCTCCTCACATCCCAGACGGGGCGGCGGGGCAAAGGCGCTCCCCACATCTCAGACGATGGGCGGCCGGGCAGAGACGCTCCTCACTTCCTAGATGGGATGGCGGCCGGGAAGAGGCGCTCCTCACTTCCTAGATGGGATGGCGGCCGGGCAGAGACACTCCTCACTTTCCAGACTGGGCAGCCAGGCAGAGGGGCTCCTCACATCCCAGACAATGGGCGGCCAGGCAGAGACGCTCCTCACTTCCTAGACGGGGTGGCGGCCAGGCAGAGGCTGCACTCTGGGCACTTTGGGAGGCCAAGGCAGGCGGCTGGGAGGTGGAGGTTGTAGCGAGCCGAGATCACGCCACTGCACTCCAGCCTGGGCACCATTGAGCACTGAGTGAACCAGACACTGTCTGCAATCCCGGCACCTCCGGAGGCCGAGGCTGGCGGATCACTCGCAGTTAGGAGCTGGAGACCAGCCCGGCCAACACAGCGAAACCCCGTCTCCACCAAAAAAATACGAAAACCAGTCAGGCGTGGCGGCGCGCGCCTGCAATCGCAGGCACTCGGCAGACTGAGGCAGGAGAATCAGGCAGGGAGGTTGCAGTGAGCCGAGATGGCAGCAGTACTGTCCAGCTTCGGCTCGGCATCAGAGGGAGACCATGGAAAGAGAGGGAGAGGGAGACCATGGGGAGAGGGAGAGGGAGAGGGCTTAAAAATTCTTTAATGTCTACATTAAAAAACATTTACCATATATGTTTCTATCTGGAAGCAATACTATATTATTGATTACAATACTATACAATACAGTATTGTTTATTATAATGCTATTTATTACATTAAATAGTATATTCTCTATATATTCCTTTGTAGGTTTTTAAAAACCAACATTGTTTTAAATATTATCCATATTCTATGCAAATGTAACTTAGTAACTTCACCTTCTATATAGTAGTCAGTTTTATAGATTGCAATTTATTTTAATTAGTGGTAACTTAGGTGGTTACTATTTTTTCAGCTATTAAAAATATTAATATACCATATTATACTACTGTACTATATTATATCATATACTATATTATAAAGCTTGTAAATTTGTAATTTAAAATTATACATCTAAAATAAGAGGCAAGGGCAATAACCAAACAACTGAATATTTTGTCATATTTTACTACAATTTACATTAAAATTAGCAATCTACTTTTGTAATGAAAAGTAACAATCTACTTTTTGACAATCTCCACCACTTCCTCTCTTCTTCATTCTGTTCAGAAAATTCAGAGTTGTAATCAATGGGCACATATAATTTTAAATTTTACTTTTTCAGTTAACATAAGTGCATATAAATATTTTATTCATTCAACAAATGCTTAATTAGTGCTTCTTAGGGCCAGACTAGCATCTAAGGACAGAGACAAAAATCCCTGCCTCCTTGGATCATGTATTACATTTGACATAATCAGTTAGTCTGTGAAATCATAATTTTTTAATGCTATGCTATGAATTGCTATATTTAGCAATTCATGTTACATAATATTAATATACTATGATTTGCTTATTTATTTCCTCAGGGAATTGTGACAGTGTTCTATGCTGTGTTCTATTTTAGGAACATATACATACATGACATCCATGTCAGAATAACAGACTAACTTCGACTAGTAGTATGGTAGTCTACATGGTAAATTCTACATAGTAGTATTATTACTGGGGGAGTATGCATGATTGATGCTCAGACTGACTTCAAATAGGTCAAATCTCAGCTGTCATCATGAACAATAGTCCATGTTTCCCATTTTCTTCGCGTTCACACACTGAAACTCAGCCCGCAACCCCGACTAGCATAGTGGTAAGGAATCTGGACTCTGGAGTGGGTTTCTTGGCCTACTAGGTAGATGAACTTAGGCAAATTAATTAACCCCCTTGTGTCACAGTTTTCCATAAAATGGGGATAATAACACATTTAGTTAATACTTGTAAAAATCCTTAAAACAGTGAGTTTTATGTCTGGTTAAGCACTAACTGCTATAAAGCTTTGGTTTAAAATAAATCAGTTTTCACTGCCTACTTCCTAAATCAAGTTACCTGAGGGATATATTGAGAAAATGAAAAATAAAGCAAAGAGACCCCCACCTGGCAACAACATGACTTTGTTTTCTTTGTAAAAGGCTGGGGTCTGTCTATCTGCATCAACCTTACAGTCTGTGGTTTACTGGAAGTTGCTCACCTTAGATTCTGTCCACCTGATGTCTGCCTAGATCTGTGTCTGCTGAGACTCTAAGAAGAGAAAGGGAGCATGATAGATAAGTACATTACACACACACACACACACACATACAACATGCACACATAGAGGCACGCACACAAACATATATATTGTACCTGCTTGCACCCCAAATACCCCTCACACATACACACATACCAGACACACATTGTGCATATAAACACAACCCAGATGTACAGCACACACACAGACACAAACACACCATACACACATACACACCACACACACGCACACACCCACACCTCCCCCACATACGCACAAACATCTCTCTCTCACACACACACCTTGTGCATACAAATATACATGCACACACACATACACACACATAGGAGAGAGAGAAAGAGGATGAAGGAAGGGACCTAAGCCAAGAAGTTATCATTGGTGAGAACAAATTTATCCATTTGAATGTTCTACCTGGCAGTTTAGCAAATTATTTCTACAATGTAACAGTTAATCCATTATGTCTTTAGGCTGCACTCACTACATGTAAATACACTGGTCATTTGTTCACACACCCAAGCCAAATAATCCTAAGTGGAAGAAAGTATAAAGTAACAACCAATCTTAACAAAAATAGTTCTTAGCTCACTGCTTTGAAAATGTTCATTGTCGCCAGTTGCCTCCTTCTCTCCTCCCCTTTCTTCTCCTTTTTCTGCTCTTTATCCTTCCATACCAGAAAACCTTCTAGCCACGGGGAAAATTAATTAACATAAATGTACCTGCACCTATTTCTTCAAGTTGCTGTTTAAGTTTGGTTCAGACATGAATCAGAAACACAGTGTTGGCACAGAGCTAAGGAGTAAATTCTGTATGCAGTGAGCTCCTATGAAGTCACTGATTAATATAATTAAAAGCCTGAGTTAATTGCATACTTTCCATTAGCTTTCATTGTATACTTACTTTCCAAGGACCCACTAGCCTTCCCCATGGGGATCTGGTCCCACGTTTATTCAAGTGAGATGGCTGCTTTCAAAACTGAACCTTTCATCAATCCCCTATTAATTAGCTAAACGCCGCACTGGATTATGCATTTATGCCTGCCAGCAAGGCGGGAGCATCCGGAGAGCAGAGCTCACAGTCCTCTTGGCTCATCCTCCAGCCTGGTCATTGGTATTCCAGGACAAGTCGGCTTACTGTAATTTGAAATTGGTCTGCCATCCCATTAGGAATCTGCCCGATCAATACCAAGTGAATTAGAGTTTCAGTGATCTGATTAACTCCCCATTATTTTCTACCCTGGCTGATTTAGAATGCATGATGAGACAATATTCCAGTTTCTTTGCTTTATCCCAGTTTAAGTGAAATATAGACATCTAAGGAAGCAGTGCCTGTGCATTTGATTTGGCTCAGCTGTAATAAAGTCAAACACCATGAGTATCTTCCCCATCAAAGCAGTCTTAAGTGACTGAGGGCTGCCTCTGCACTCCATGCAAAGAGCTGAGAGTGGGAAGGGGAAGAAATAGGTGGGAGCTCTTGCTGCTCATCTCTCTTCTTTTTGGCTCTCTTCTTCTGAATAAACCCCTATAAGGCTTTTAACAGGGCGGTTTAGTTATTTGTCATATGATCAACATTAGCAGCTTTGCGACTGAAGCTCTGGGTCATGTGGTTGGAAGATAGACTATAATTCTCTCTCTCCCAAAGGCACAAGAGGCTCATGACAAGAGAGTAACTAAATGTTGTCTCTTGATGACTGAAAACAAGCACTGTAGCTAGGGCCAAACGCTGCCCTTGGGGAAAATGCCTGGTGCCCTCAAGGAGCTAATTTAGTCTCCTTTGCAGCAAGACTGTTTTCATGCCCCGGCCCAGGGCTTCAGAGAAATCTGAATAGGGCTCAGCAAGTCAGTATGTGGCTCCAGGAGGCTAGAATTTCAAGCTGCTTGAAAACACAGGATTCTGAAACAATGCAAGCAATGCAACTATATCCTTTAAAAATACAGCCATGTTACTTCCTAATATGTTTGAATTTGGTTGGCCAAGCACTGCCTAGTAGAATTTCTTTAATCATTTATTATTTTTTTTAAGATTTAATAATTGTAGTGGGTTTATCTTGCTTTGATGTTCCCCAAATACTAAAAAATAACCTAGTGTATTTTTCATATATGTCTAAGCTATTATAATGTGGCACAATATTTTTTTACTGGTGATCCAATAAAGATTCATCTGGGCTTATATGTATAATCATAAATAATAGCTCACTAATATGACCTATTCTAAATAACATCCTATCTTCCTCTTAGTAATTACTTAGCAATTCAGAATATTCTGTGTGCAGGATGAAGAAATCTGGCTAGAGATGATATAATATAATCTGCTAACTAGTTATGTAAATATCTAGATTGAAAATATAAATGCATAGGAATGGAGTAGCTTTGGCATTGACAAATCCTAGTTTGGTGAGAGGTTTGGTCAGCCTAAACTTTTATGAACCTCATTGCTATTCTCCACTATTGATCATTACTCATCTGAATACTTCTGAGTATCTCGTGTGTTTTGTCTTCCAAATGTAGTTCACACAACTTAATTAGAGCAAAATTATAATAAGGACTTACAAAGAGAAATAAGGTTTGAAATATCTCAGCTCAAGACAAAGAAAAAATTGTTTATTCTGGAATAAATGATTTGAATCCTGATATTTGCAGATAGGTGAACTTAGTTGCCTTTTTAAACAAAGTTTTTTTTTTAATATCAATAAAATAGGAATAGTAATATCAACATTATAGGATAGTTTTATGGTAAATACGGTAATATATGTAAAGTATTTGTGCAGAGTAAATGCTCAAAGCTTGTTAGCTTTCTCCATTTTCCCCATCACATGTTCACAGAATCTGTGATGACATTTTTCATGTCAATCTCTACTTTTAAATGACCCACTTAAAAATCTTAAATTGAAGGGAAAAAGGAATCTGAAGACAAATAAATTATGTCAGATATTTTTATGTATATGATTTAAATGGAAAATTACTGGAATATTGCCAGTTTCTCTGAAATATCTCAAATTTCTCACCTGGGAAAAATTGAAGTTGCATGAAGAAATGATTCAAATCCTATCTAGAAACAGAACGACCAAATGCTCTAGTTGATTATTAACACAGAGCTAACTCAGAGTCTCTGGTGGAGGCATGGACCACCTGCAGCAGGGCTTAAAGCCCCTGGACTCAGCAGGATTGCTTTTGGATGTGCCATAGTTTCCATCTTTACCATGTTGATTAGTCCCCATTTTTGGAATGCAGAAACATATTCTGACAATGTATCTAGTCCCTTCTTTGGATCTGATACTGTATTTCTATTCATAGATTGAAGTCAATCATTCTTCCATTGCACTTCTGGTCAATTAAAAGCTTCAAGCTTTTATCACATCTATTTCTATCCTTCTTTTGTGATTGATTATTTTGTAACATGTAAAATGTAACATTTTCCCCAAATAAATGTTATTATATTGATTTCAGCCTATCATTTCAATTTATTTGCTTTTTTGGGTTTATTGTATCGTGAACATAATTAATTATCTTTCTAGCTTAGTATTCTTCAGCCACTAATGGAAAATGGCATACAATAGCACTAACACGCATCCTGATTTCAGTCTTGAAATCCACACCCTTGAGCATAGGGTTAAATAAACTTAAAACACTGTCTTGTGCTAACATCTAACCCATATTTCTCTACATTTACTGCCACTGTGCTGGAAATCTTCCACTTGTCCCTCCACACCTCACCCTAACCTACCCTACTACGTGCCCTGGGAGGCTGGCCTGTATGGACTGCATCAATAGGCTTCTCAGCTCTATGGCTTCTAGTTGGGTTTACCCAGTGGAGTGCTAAATGAAGATAGGAGGAAAGGAGGAAAGGAGAGGAGTGAAGTCAGGAATATTATTTTCCTAACTCCTTTCCTGTTGAATTTCCATGGGTTGGCTGCCTCCCTTGACTCAAGTCCATGCCTCCCACAGGGAGACTTTATGCATCTCATGATTATTACACATTTTGTGGACTATGAGACAAAATGGATGGTTATGTTAAATATACAGCTATTATATTAATATCAATTTATGTCTATTACAAATTACTTGTTATAGATTTGCTGACTTGTACATAGACAACTCATAAAAACATACATAAAATTTTATCATCTTTGGATCACTATATTTGATGACACCATACTGTTGCATTTTAGTGATACTTTGGATGTTGCTCGAAGCTTGACATATAACCCAAATGTCACAATTAAGTTATTAACTGGATGGTGAAAATACTCATACTTAGCACTTACATGTTGCTTTTTGTCATTAATGTGTATGACAAATAGGAGCTAATCAATAGCATAGCAGTGTATTCAGTAATGATCTTTTACTGTTGCTTGGTTCATTTCAGTTCAGAGGGCTTTTACTAGTAAGCCCATAAAACTGGTGACAAGTTTCAAGTTAATAGACAAGATTTATTTGAGTATGTCCCTCTTCACCCACCGTCCCCTCACCTGCTTAGCTTCCCACCAGATGGTGAAGCTCTAAAGGCAGAGATCCTTTTATCTCTGTATCCTCAATGCCTAGTTTAAGACCTGATACTTGGTAGACATTCAAAAAAGTGCTTATAGAGTGGATAAAGGAATAAGCAATATGGCAAAACTATTGACGTGATCATTTATGTTATTTCTAAGACCTGCTGTAAAAAGTGTCATGCACTGTTGTACTTTATATGCCAGATATTTTCAATTTCCCTTTCCATTGAAAAAGAAGACCATAGTTTAAGACTTTCAAAAACGTATGCTAGTATTTATTGACAGCTAGAAAACAACCTGTACCAAAGAAATGGATACATCCCATCATGTTAAAGGAGACTGAAGCCCATTCCTCTGAATTCACCATTTACAGCTGTCTTCTCTCCATGTAGCTCTGCTAAATGCACCAAAGTCAGTATCCTAGGGCAGACTTGGAGATTTTCACCAGCAAAGTGTAAAGTTTGCAGAGATTTCATCTCCTCTCCTCTGGTGGCTTGGGATTTGGGGAGAATGTTGAATTTGTCCTGACTCTCTAAGAGAGAGCCTGTGGCTTTCCAAGGAGGTGAGCTGGCCATTGATTCATGGCAGAGGGAGGGAGCATCCTTGACAAATCTGACATGTTGGGCATCGGCATCATTGCTTGTCAATACCCACATCAGAGAATAAGAGAAATGTTTTGGAATGCAGAAAATGACGACTGTGGCAGAGGATATAATCCAATGTGGAAAATAAGCAACTGCACAGTTCTAATGTTTAAAGAAAATCTCAACTATGTATGTCAAATAAGCATGAAAAGGATGATTGAAAACAGTCCAAGTTAGTGTTGAAGAAGAATCCAATTTTATAAAAGGATCTTGGAGACAGTTTAGTCTGACTCCCTCATTTCACAGCTAAGAAAATTCAGAACCAAAGAAGATAAATGACTTGCTCAAGGTCATACAACCAAGGCTTTTCACATTGTTTTCCTCAATACCACGTTCATTTCCACAGTAATCAGTACTCAACACTCCATTTAAATGTTATCAGTCATCTTAGAATCTGAAATTAAACCTGAACATTATTTCCCTAACATTTAGTGAGAGCTGATTTTGTATTAACTATAGGTGTTGTACAGATAAAATATTCCTACACTTCACATCTCTAGAGACTGACCAGGCCTTCCCTATGGAAGAAGGCAAGAATACAAGAATATTCTTGTGATAAAGGCAAAATGGAACTTCTTTAGTTCATATTATTTAAACTGTTATTATTAGGCTTCAAAGTCTATTATTATTTAGGCTTTGGAGTAATTCACATTCTCTGTGATTAAAAAAAAATTAAAAATTCTTCCCTCAAATTTTAAGTACTGTCAATTTGGTTTAAAATATGTACTTTTTTTTGTTGTTGTTGTTAGTTTTTATTCACTTTATTTATTTATTTATTTATTATAATTATACTTTAAGTTTTAGGGTACATGTGCACAATGTGCAGGTTAGTTACATATGTATACATGTGACATGCTGGTGCGCTGCACCCACTAACTCGTCATCTAGCATTAGGTATATCTCCCAATGCTATCCCTCCCCCCTCCCCCCACCCCACAACAGTCCCCAGAGTGTGATGTTCCCCTTCCTGTGTCCATGTGATCTCATTGTTCAATTCCCACCTATGAGTGAGAATATGCGGTGTTTGGTTTTTTGTTCTTGTGATAGTTTACTGAGAATGATGATTTCCAATTTCATCCATGTCCCTACAAAGGACATGAACTCATCATTTTTTATGGCTGCATAGTATTCCATGGTGTGTATATGTGCCACATTTTCTTAATCCAGTCTATCACTGTTGGACATTTGGGTTGGTTCCAAGTCTTTGCTATTGTGAATAATGCCGCAATAAACATACATGTGCATGCGTCTTTATAGCAGCATGATTTATAGTCCTTTGGGTATATACCCAGTAATGGGATGGCTGGGTCAAATGGTATTTCTAGTTCTAGATCCCTGAGGAATCGCCACACTGACTTCCACAATGGTTGAACTAGTTTACAGTCCAACCAACAGTGTAAAAGTGTTCCTATTTCTCCACATCCTCTCCAGCACCTGTTGTTTCCTGACTTTTTAATGATTGCCATTCTAACTGGTGTGAGATGGTATCTCATTGTGGTTTTGATTTGCATTTCTCTGATGGCCAGTGATGATGAGCAGTTTTTCATGTGTTTTTTGGCTGCATAAATGTCTTCTTTTGAGAACTGTCTGTTCATGTCCTTTGCCCACTTTTTGATGGGGTTGTTTGTTTTTTTCTTGTAAATTTGTTTGAGTTCATTGTAGATTCTGGATATTAGCCCTTTGTCAGATGAGTAGGTTGTGAAAATTTTCTCCCATTTTGTAGGTTGCCTGTTCACTCTGATGGTGGTTTCTTTTGCTGTGCAGAAGCTCTTTAGTTTAATTAGATCCCATTTGTCAATTTTGGCTTTTGTTGTGATTGCTTTTGGTGTTTTAGACATGAAGTCCTTGCCCATGCCTATGTCCTAAATGGTAATGCCTAGGTTTTCTTCTAGGGTTTTTATGGTTTTAGGTCTAATGTTTAAGTCTGTAATCCATCTTGAATTAATTTTTGTATAAGGTGTAAGGAAGGGATCCAGTTTCAGCTTTCTACATATGGCTAGCCAGTTTTCCCAGCACCATTCATTAAAAAGGGAATCCTTTTCCCATTGCTTGTTTTTCTCAGTTTTGTCAGAGATCAGATAGTTGTAGATATGTGGCATTATTTCTGAGGGCTCTGTTCTGTTCCATTGATCTATATCTCTGTTTTGGTACCAGTACCATGCTGTTTTGGTTACTGTAGCCTTGCAGTAGAGTTTGAAGTCAGGTAGTGTGATGACTCCAGCTTTGTTCTTTTGGCTTAGGATTGACTTGGCGATGCGGGCTCTTTTTTGGTTCCATATGAACTTTAAAGTAGTTTTTTCCAATTCTGTGAAGAAAGTCATTGGTAGCTTGATGGGGATGGCATTGAATCTGTAAATTACCTTGGGCAGTATGGCCATTTTCACGATATTGATTCTTCCTACCCATGAGCATGGAATGTTCTTCCATTTGTTTGTATCCTCTTTGATTTCCTTGAGCAGTGGTTTGTAGTTCTCCTTGAAGAGGTCCTTCACATCCCTTGTAAGTTGGATTCCTAGGTATTTTATTCTCTTTGAAGCAATTGTGAATGGGAGTTCACCCATGATTTGGCTCTCTGTTTGTCTGTTGTTGGTGTATAAGAATGCTTGTGATTTTTGTACATTGATTTTGTATCCTGAGACTTTGCTGAAGTTGCTTATCAGCTTAAGGAGCTTTTGGGCTGAGACAATGGGGTTTTCTAGATATACAATCATGTCATCTGCAAACATGGACAATTTGACTTCCTCTTTTCCTAATTGAATACTCTTTATTTCCTTCTCCTGCCTAATTGCCCTGGCCAGAACTTCCAACACTATGTTGAATAGGAGTGGTGAGAGAGGGCATCCCTGTCTTGTGCCAGTTTTCAAAGGGAATGCTTCCAGTTTTTGCCCATTCAGTATGATATTGGCTGTGGGTTTGTCATAGATAGCTCTTATTATTTTGAAATACGTCCCATCAATACCTAATTTATTGAGAGTTTTTAGCATGAAGGATTGTTGAATTTTGTCAAAGGCTTTTTCTGCATCTATTGAGATAATCATGTGGTTTTTGTCTTTGGCTCTGTTTATATGCTGGATTACATTTATTGATTTGCATATATTGAACCAGCCTTGCATCCCAGGGATGAAGCCCACTTGATCATGGTGGATAAGCTTTTTGATGTGCTGCTGGATTCGGTTTGCCAGTATTTTATTGAGGATTTTTGCATCAATGTTCATCAAGGATATTGGTCTAAAATTCTCTTTTTTGGTTGTGTCCCTGCCCGGCTTTGGTATCAGGATGATGCTGGCCTCATAAAATGAGTTAGGGAGGATTCCCTCTTTTTCTATTGATTGGAATAGTTTCAGAAGGAATGGTACCAGTTCCTCCTTGTACCTCTGGTAGAATTCGGCTGTGAATCCATCTGGTCCTGGACTCTTTTTGGTTGGTAAGCTATTGATTATTGCCACAATTTCAGATCCTGTTATTGGTCTATTCAGAGATTCAACTTCTTCCTGGTTTAGTCTTGGGAGAGTGTAGGTGTCGAGGAATTTATCCATTTCTTCTAGATTTTCTAGTTTATTTGCGTAGAGGTGTTTGTAGTATTCTCTGATGGTAGTTTGTATTTCTGTGGGATTGGTGGTGATATCACCTTTATCACTTTTTATTGCATCTATTTGATTCTTCTCTCTTTTCTTCTTTATTAGTCTTGCTAGAGGTTTATTAATTTTGTTGATCCTTTCAAAAAACCAGCTCCTGGATTCATTAATTTTTTTGAAGGGTTTTTTGTGTCTCTATTTCCTTCACTTCTGCTCTGATTTTAGTTATTTCTTGCCTTATGCTAGCTTTTGAATGTGTTTGCTCTTGCTTTTCTAGTTCTTTTAATTGTGATGTTAGGGTGTCAATTTTGGATCTTTCCTGCTTTCTCTTGTTGGCATTTAGTGCTATAAATTTCCCTCTACACACTGCTTTGAATGCATCCCAGAGATTCTGGTATGTTGTGTCTTTCTTCTCATTGGTTTCAAAGAACATCTTTATTTCTGCCTTCATTTCGTTATGTATCCAGTATTCATTCAGGAGCAGGTTGTTCAGTTTCCATGTAGTTGAGCAGTTTTGAGTGAGATTCTTAATCCTGAGTTCTAGTTTGATTGCACTGTGGTCTGAGAGACAGTTTGTCATAATTTCTGTTCTTTTACATTTGCTGAGGAGAGCTTTACTTCCAACTATGTGGTCAATTTTGGAATAGGTGTGGTGTGGTGCTGAAAAAAACATATATTCTGTTGATTTGGGGTGGAGAGTTCTGTAGATGTCTATTAGGTCCACTTGGTGCAGAGCTGAATTCAATTCCTGGGTATCCTTGTTGACTTTCTGTCTCGTTGATCTGTCAAATGTTGACAGTGGAGTGTTAAAGTCTCCCATTATTAATGTGTGGGAGTCTAAGTCTCTTTGTTGGTCACTCAGGACTCGCTTTATGAATCTGGGTGCTCCTGTATTGGGTGCATATATATTTAGAATAGTTAGCTCTTCTTGTTGAATTGATTCCTTTACCATTATGTAATGGCCGTCTTTGTCTCTTTTGATCTTTGTTGGTTTAAAGTCTGTTTTTTCAGAGAGTAGGATTGCAACCCCTGCCTTTTTTTGTTTTCCATTTGCTTGGTAGATCTTCCTCCATCCTTTTATTTTGAGCCTATGTGTGTCTCTGCACGTGAGATGGGTTTCCTGAATACAGCACACTGATGGGTCTTGACTCTTTATCCAATTTGCCAGTCTGTGTCTTTTAATTGGAGCATTTAGTCCATTTACATTTAAAGTTAATATTGTTATGTGTGAATCTGATCCTGTCATTATGATGTTAGCTGGTTATTTTGCTCGTTAGTTGATGCAGTTTCTTCCTAGTCTCGATGGTCTTTACATTTTGGCATGATTTTGCAGCGGCTGGTACCAGTTGTTCCTTTCCATGTTTAGTGCTTCCTTCAGGAGCTCTTTTAGGGCAGGCCTGGTGGTGACAAAATCTCTCAGCATTTGCTTGTCTGTAAAGTATTTTATTTGTCCTTCACTTATGAAGCTTAGTTTGGCTGGATATGAAATTTTGGCTTGAAAATTCTTTTCTTTAAGAATGTTGAATATTGGCCCCCACTCTCTTCTGGCTTGTAGAGTTTCTGCCGAGACATCTGCTGTTAGTCTGATGGGCTTCCCTTTGAGGGTAACCCGACCTTTCTCTCTGGCTGCCCTTAACATTTTTTCCTTCATTTCAACTTTGGTGAATCTGACAATTATGTGT
The DNA here is from genome assembly GCF_000001405.40 of Homo sapiens. NCBI lineage: Eukaryota > Metazoa > Chordata > Mammalia > Primates > Hominidae > Homo > Homo sapiens. The sequence goes on from NC_000004.12 coordinate 83,956,661, forward strand.
CTTGGAGTTGCTCTTCTCGAGGAGTATCTTTGTGGCGTTCTCTGTATTTCCTGAATCTGAATGTTGGGCTGCCTTGCTAGATTGGGGAAGTTCTCCTGGATAATATCCTGCAGAGTGTTTTCCAACTTGGTTCCATTCTCCCCGTCACTTTCAGGTACACAAATCAGACGTAGATTTGGTCTTTGCACATAGTCCCATATTTCTTGGAGGCTTTGCTCGTTTCTTTTTATTCTTTTTTCTCTAAACTTCCCTTCTTGCTTCATTTCATTCATTTCATCTTCCATTGCTGATACCCTTTCTTCCAGTTGATGGCATCGGCTCCTGAGGCTTCTGCATTCTTCACGTAGTTCTCAAGCCTTGGTTTTCAGCTCCATCAGCTCCTTTAAGCACTTCTCTGTATTGGTTATTCTAGTTATACATTCTTCTCAATTCTTTTCAAAGTTTTCAACTTCTTTGCCTTTGGTTTGAATGTCCTCCTGTAGCTCGGAGTAATTTGATCATCTGAAGCCTTCTTCTCTCAGCTCGTCAAAGTCATTCTCCATCCAGCTTTGTTCCGTTGCTGATGCAGAACTGAGTTCCTTTGGAGGAGGAGAGGCACTCTGCTTTTTAGAATTTCCAGTTTTTCTGCTCTGTTTTTTCCCCTTCTTTGTGGTTTTATCTCCTTTTGGTCTTTGATGATGGTGATGTACAGATGGGTTTTTTGTGTGGATGTCCTTTCTGTTTGTTAGTTTTCATTCTAACAGACAGGATCCTCAGCTGCAGGTCTGTTGGAGTACCCGGCCGTGTGAGGTGTCAGTCTGCCCCTGCTAGGGGGTGCCTCCCAGTTAGGCTGCTCGGGGGTCAGGGGTCAGGGACCCACTTGAGGAGGCAGTCTGTCCATTCTCAGATCTCCAGCTGCGTGCTGGGAGAACCACTGCTCTCTTCAAAGCTTTCAGACAGGGACATTTAAGTCTGCAGAGGTTACTGCTGTCTTTTTGTTTGTCTGTGCCCTGCCCCCAGAGGTGGAGCCTACAGAGGCAGGCAGGCCTCCTTGAGCTGTGGTGGGCTCCACCCAGTTCGAGCTTCCAGGCTGCTTTGTTTACCTAAGCAAGCCTGGGCAATGGCGGGCGCCCTTCCCCCAGCCTCGCTGCTGCCTTGCAGTTTGATCTCAGACTGCTGTGCTAGCAATCAGCGAGATTCCGTGGGCGTAGGACCCTCCGAGCCAGGTGTGGGATATAATCTCCTGGTGAGCTGTTTTTTAAGCCCATCGGAAAAGCGCAGTATTCGGGTGGGAGTGACCCTATTTTCCAGGTGCCGTCTGTCACCCCTTTCTTTGACTAGGAAAGGGAACTCCCTGACCCCTTGCGCTTCCCGAGTGAGGGAATGCCTCGCCCTGCTTCGGCTCGCGCAAGGTGCGCGCACCCACTGACCTGTGCCCACTGTCTGGCACTCCCTAGTGAGATGAACCCGGTACCTCAGATGGAAATGCAGAAATCACCCGTCTTCTGCGTGGCTCACGCTGGGAGCTGTAGACCGGAGCTGTTCCTATTCGGCCATCTTGGCTCCAAGAACCTTTATTCCACCTTTTTTTTTTTAACTAAATCAAAGAATCTAGCATTAAGAATTCTGTCAACCTGTCTTCAACTACTGGTAATTCCTTCTCTGCTTACTAGGCTTTAATTTTTGTGATACATTTTAAAGTAATAAAAACTTTTTTTTTTTTTTGAGACGGAGTCTCACACTGTTGCCTGGGCTGGAGTGCAGTGGTGCGATCTCCGCTCACTGCCAGCTCTGCCTCCTGGGTTCATGCCATTCTCCCGCCTTAGCCTCCTGAGTAGCTGGGACTACAGGTACCTGCCACCACGCCCGGCTAATTTTTTATATTTTTAGTAGAGATGGGGTTTCATCATGTTAGCCAGGATGGTCTCAATCTCCCAACCTCGTGATCCATCCGCTTCGGCCTCCCAAAGTGCTTCCAGGGGTAAGCTTACAGGCATAAGCCACCGTGTCCGGCCATAAAAACCTATTTTAATTTTTGTTCTGAAAGATTGTAAAACCTTTGTATTACAGAAAAAGATAGGGCTGGAGGACTTAGAGGCAGAGCAATCCTTGGAGCAACTAGCAAGAGTAAGAAGTGTTGCTCTGGTCTAAACCAAAGCAATTATGTGAAGCAGAGAAACCATGCGATTGTGGCAGGTGAACATTTTTCTCTTATTGACACTAGAGATGGTTGGTGCAGTTAAGTATTTTTCTGGTGTGGAAAAATATAGATCAGAGACAGGATAGCTAAAATGCAGCATGTAGCTTTCTGCAAGGTTGGAAGCTATGAAGTGAAGTTCCAGACTCTTCCACAAATAGAGTCAGGACCAGTGAGAAGGAGATGATCATTTGATCAGCTATTGCATGGGAGGAATGCCTGGCCATTTCCAAGGGCACTGAATTCAGCAGAGACTTAGAAAAGCCGGCAAGTTCATCTCACCATCTAGCAACCCCTCTGATAAAAGTTCAAACGACCAGAGTTTGGTTGGTGAGGAGGTAGTGGTAAGAGAATATGTTAGAGTAGCAGTCCCCAAGCTTTTTGGCACCAGGGACTGGTTTTCTGAAACACAATTTTTCCACAGACAGGGAGTGGGGTGGGGTGATGATTTGAAGATAAAACTGTTCTGCATCAGATCATCAGGCATTGGATTCTCATAAGAAGTGTGCAACCTAGATCCCGCGCATGTGCAGTTCACAATAGGGTTCGTGCTTCTGTGAGAATCTAATGCTACAGCTGATCTCACAGGAGGTGGAACTCAAGTGATAATGCTCTCTAGCCCGCCACTCACCTCCTGCTGTGCGGCCCAGTTCCTGACAAGCCATGGACAGGTACAGGTTTGCCACCCCAGGGGTTGGGGACCCCTGGGTTAGAGTTAAACAGTGTTCTGGTATGGGGCTTCGCATATAAAAGATGCTCAATTAACGGTGAACATATGAATGAATGGCCTTATAAAACCAAATAAGGAGTTTGAATTTTATCCCAGGCCAATAGATTTCAAATAGAGGCTGATGTGCTCAGATTTGCACTTCAGAAAGATTTGCACTGTGGGGAATGGATTCAAGCTGGAGATCAGGAAGCCAGTTAGAAGGCTTTTGCTTGTGGCCAGAGTAAAGGTAGCGGCTATTCAATTAATGTTTGGAATATTGGATATTTAGCATTTTCTATTGATTTAAATAGCTAATAAAACTGTGTGGTAATAATGTGTGCCATATATCTCAGATAATCTCGGGAATGCTTTTGCCACACTGTCTGTCAATATTCTATGAAATTAGGAATTTCAGGAAAATACAGTGAAAGCTCCTTTAGCTAATGCCATTGGTACCATTATGCAAACTTGGACAAAGTATGAAATAATAAAACATGACACACACATATCTTAAATGTTTTACCTAACTTAAAAATATAAGTACATACTTATTTACCAATCATTCAATACAGAGCCAGAGCCTTTTCTTTGACCATTAATCTTTTCTTTAGAACTATCTGTAGTCTATTTTTGCACATATCACAAATGCATTTTTATGATATCCAATTTCATTTTAGTTCAAGTGGAGTGAAAAATTATACACCTTTATAAAGCAATTTGAAAATTTTTATAATTGTTTTCCCAACCTGTTACAGTTATTTTGCCCACATTGAATTTGGTAGAAATATTTTACTAGCTACTTACTATTACGATTTTCTAAAGCAATCAACTTATTTTTTACAGTATATTGGACACTTCCCATCATCTTGGCCCATCTTTATTTCAGCTATCGTTGCAGCCACAAACATTTTGCAGGTGTAAACCGATGATGTTTAATCTCATCTGACTACCCACCTAGGCTTTCTAGTGCCACAGCATGCGATACCACTGGAAAGCCTCAGGGAATCGCCCGGTATGAATAGGTGCAGCAACTTCAAGTTTGTGCAAGGGAGTTGTGCCCCCTAGGAAACCTTCAATCAATGGGGGACAGGATCTTGTAGATAAATATATCATTCTTCTGTCCAGTTTATACAGCTTCTCAGAAGGTTCCAGAGGAGTTTAGACCTTAATATTAACAACAATCAGCAGCTCAATAACACTCTTATATTGGCTCCCTGCTCTTTCAGGTTCTCCACTCTTGGGATTACATTAACTACTTATATGTAAACTCTTGTCTACATGCAAGACTCTGCTTTGTGGGAGGCAAGTCAAACCAAGACACACAGAAGCAACACCCCTATTTTAAAAACTCACATTATTTTACTGAATGTTTAATTTTATTACATAGTTATAACAAGTGCAACTTGATAGAAGGTATGTTTTGAAGTTGAGGGAAGAAGTAAAAGTAGGGAAAAGAAAACCTGATGTCTTTCAAAAGCACTCTAAGTAGGTGTTTGTTTATGCTTATTGAATTTAGAAAGGTGGTTTTGCTTAAATGGATTCACCTGTCAATTATTGTTGCCCTCATAAAAATGTCCTTACATTGAGATCCTTATCTGGAAATTGTTCTTGTAGTCTTCATTAGATAAAAATCTCTAGCAGTGACTTCTTTTTCTGTTTCGAGAATTTCCAATAAAATAGCAAATGCCTATATCATGTGTGTTATATGCCAGACACTATTAAATCTCACAACAAGCATATGAGATGCACTCTTATTATTATTTTGTAGTTGAGGAAACTGAGGCACAGAGGAATTAAGATACCTGTTTAAGATACTTCTGACAAGTAAACGTCAGAAGTTGTATTTGGCTCTGGTTTTAATTAAAAACAAACAAAAAACATAAATGGAAAACAAAAATAAATTATTATAAAAATCCTGGATTGCTGCATTTTAAAATAACCTTAGAATCACATTTGGAAAAAGTCTTAGCCCAACCACTGAGTGAGCTTCTTTGAATGCAGCTTCTTCAATATGTTCTCAGAGCACATGCCTCCCTACAGAGGAGCAGGACTTGGGGAGAGCCCACTTGAATGCTTCCAACTACCCTCCAAATCGTTGCACAAAACCTCCAAAGTACAGCCTTTCTACTTCTCTAGAATAGGGTCTGAGGCAAAACCCCAGGAATGGTTGTGCTGCGAGTAGATGTTCTTGGTAAGGTCAGTTCTGTGGACTTCAGATAAAAATATGCTAATAAGCTATTTTTCAATGCCACCTGCTGGTGCCAAACATAATTTTTCTTCTGAAGCTTTGTTCAAAGAGTCAACAGAGCTCAGACGTTATAGATTATAGTAATTCTAAGAGGCATAACTCTGTGATATATTCTGTAATTGTAACTTTTTCTTTTCAGTAATGCTCTCTTCTTCCTCCATAATCCATCAACAGTGTTCCATTTTATTTACTTTGATCTATTTTCTATTAAATACTCTATGTAATAAAAATGTATGCTCCACTTTTTCTCCCAGAAAAACTTTCAGTATCTTGGAAATTCTGTAGGGACAAGCTTTGACATTGATTTTTATCATAGTATATTCCTTGAGGATTAGGGAAGATTCATTTTATAAGAGGATTAACAAACACTGCATTCACAATGACATTGTAGGTTTATTTTTTCTTTGCTTCATTTAATTCCCATGTTTTTTAAAGGTAGTGTGAAAATGTTTAAGGCTTGACTTATTTATGACAATATCTATGTGACAGAGTGTTTCTAGAGCTTTTATTATATTTCATGCCAAATTAGAGCGGATATCATTGCCATCTAAACTACAAATACCCAGCTAGGTTTTAAACACCATTGGCGAAAAAGTATCTTCAACGTTGTCAGGTTCTAACTGAGGTCCAAGGAGAGTTGGTGGGCGAGTGGTGGGTAGCTGGAAAAACACTCAAGGAATCATAGACAGTTTTGACATGGCTTTACTTTCTCTCTAGGCATGAGTGAGCCTGGGCACGAGCTGTATGTACAGTGTTAGCAGGGTAATTATACCTTTACAGATAATAGTGGCTCCAAGTCAAGCACGAGTTCATGTGGGTGATCACCTAATGTGCCTCACATGGTGTGGTTACATAACGAGCGGAGCTGTGTACCTGTGCTCCAAACTTGCTGAGTCATGCTAGACCAGATGTCTGCCTCAGCTTATTCTTGACTGAAGCACATCCATTTTCCTTACAATCCACCTCCTAGGCTGAGAGAGACATAGGCCTTAAACACACAGGTCTGACACATAGGCCTTATACATTGGCTCTGAGCACACAGGCCCCAGGCACATGGGTCCAACACATAGGCCTTACACATTAAGCCAGGTTTTTATTTCCCTACCTTTAGGGGCATTGGGCCAGGCAACAACAGGTTACCCTTTGTCCCTATACCTGGTTGGAGGAGGTCATCATTCCTCCTAGAGGTCTTGGCACATGGCCTGGCCCCACATGGGCTGGTGACCAACTAGTCACTTTTGTAACTTTTAGGTAGTTAACAATAAGGTTAAACCTCTATAAACTGCCCAGCTATTGGTGCAGATTATCATAGGTATCACCTCCTTGGTGATCACCATTTGCACTGCTCTGAGTTCAGTCCATTGACTACTTTGTCCATACCTGGTATCAAACCATATGGTTTCAGTGCTAGGCTGGACTGCGAATAGATTAGCACCTTGCTAATCTAGTTCTGGTGCTAAGGAACTAATCCTGCTAAGGATTAGTTCTGCTGCTAAGGAACTTGTACTCAGAGTACTCTGCTGTTCTAAGTAGGTGTCCCACTTTGCAAAAGTGGATGTCTGCACCATTCCAGTCCAAGGGGTTGTTACCCATGAATGCACCCATTCCACTACTGGATAAGTCACCTTCATGACAACTGTAGCCCATCCTGTCATACTCTTTCAAGCCTGAAGGGCAGCATATACAGCTGCTAGCTGTCTCTCTATCAAGGAATACTAGAGCTCAGCTCTCTTCCATAGTTGGAACCAAAAGCCTACTGGCATTCTCAAGCTCTCTGTGCGCTGACACAGGCCCCAGCTGAAAACATCTGTGGTCACATGCACATCCAGCTCAAGTGGGCTCCCCTAGTCAACTACCCGTAGGGCTTGTGCCTGCTGAATAGCCCGTCTGACTGCCAGGAAGGGAATCTCAGCCAGTTCATCTCAATTCTAGGCAAGAGGAGTGTTATCGCTTCTAAATCTGCAAGATAATCAGAGGTTAACATCATATCATCAACAAGACCATGACATATGATGGGGCTGTGCATACATCCCTGTGGCAAGACTATGAAAGTCCATTGTTGCCTTTCCATGAAGGCAAACTCTTTCTGGCTCTCTAGAGCAATGTTAGTTGAGAATGCATTGGTCAAGTCCACCACATAGTGGTACTGTCCCAATTCTGTCATCAAGTGGTCCATCAAGTCCATGACAGACAGCACAGCTGCCAAGCTGTGCCAAGCCAATTCACTCTCAGAATGTATTCAGGTATGAGAGAGGCATACACACTGCATAAGGGGGGAGCCAAGCAGCTGTTGCTGAGGTGCAAAGGTACAGGTTTCGCTTTCACTGACTGGTCTTCGTAACAGTCCATGCAGCCTTGTCCAGAAACTTATCTGGGTGCAGGGACCAGTGGATTGCCAAGTCCACATGTGGCCTCTGGTTGTCTGGTGTGTCCCCAAGCTGGTCACCTCAACCAGTTCCCTAATCAAACAGAAAAGGCTTTACATCCCTGCCTGGCTGCAGCACATAGTCTGAGCTGGAGTGCCTGGGCAGGACTGGGTCACTCGCAATGTCCTTCTCCCTCATGGGCATTTTCTGGAATTGCTGCTCTGGAGACAACTGTCTCCACAAAGTTGAGTACCTCAATGTGTTCCTCATTGGGCTGTTAATCGATTTTCTCTTGGTTGACCCCAGCCAAAACCAAATCTATCCACATCTGTAAGCGTGTCACTCATTGGGGCCTCCTTTTCTCCCATTGGGAGCACTGGTGGGCAGGGCATCTTCCCCTTCTTTATGGCACAGATCCCTTGGTCCCACCAATGGCCTTCTATTTCCCTGAGAGCCACCATAGGAGTGGTCACTTCATTTCTAAGCTCTGTAGCCAGGCCTCCAGGCACTCCACCTCCACTTGAAGGTCCCCATTCATGGCAGCTTCTAACTCTTTTTCTGAGCTCTGTAGCTGGCCTTCCAGGTGCCCTGCCTGTACCTGGAGGGCCCTTACCTGTGCTGTGTCCCTCAGGGACTGGGTGTGTACTTCCCATAGCGCAGTGAAAAACACCCATCCAATTCTGCTGGCAAAGGCTTGCTCCTTCTTGGTGCTCTGAGCTTCCAGCTGCTTCAGCACCTTCTCCATGCTTGTGGGGGACCCATCTACCACTGCCCAGGTTTCTACTGGGCCCATCCAAGCAGCACAGCTGCCACCGGGTACCACAACCCATGTTGTGGCCATATGGCCAACAGGAATCAGCGGGGACAGTAGTCTTACTCACTCCATGATCCTGTTCATGATGCCAATTGTCAGGTTCTAACTGAGGTCTGAGGGAAGTTGATGGGCAAGTGGCGGATAGCTGGAAAAACACTAGAGGAATCATAGACAGTTTTGACATGGCTTTACTCTCTCTCTCGGTGTGAGCAAGCCTGAGCATGAGCCATATGTAGAGCATTAGCAGGGTAATTCTACATTTTACAGACAACAGCAGCTCCCAGCCAAGCACAAGCTCACATGGGTGATCACCTAATGCACCTCATGTGGTGTGGTTACATAATGAGTGGAGTTGTGCACATGCACTCCAAACCTGCTGAGTCATGCTGGACTGGATGTTTGCCTTGGCCTATTCTTGACCACAGTACATTCATTTTCCTTAAAATAATGTTCTGAACAAATAACAGTTTTTAAATATTTTATAGTTGTTTGTGAGAAACCATTATATACTTCTATTAATTAAAACTCACTCTGACATGCAGGCTCTAATATTTAGGAATTACTGAGATTTTATCTCATTTGTGCATTTACAACCCTATTTGTGCTGCCAATTAACCAGAATGCTCCTCCAAGGTAAGTTCTATCATCCCACAATGCACCTGGGCTGTCCTTTACTTGACTGAAATATATCATGAAATGACAGCTGCTTGAAAGGGACCTTTAATGAAGTATGCTCTACTTTTGATGTCTTCTCTTCAGGAGCTTGGTTGTCCAGTTGTTGGGTACTCTATATCCTTTTCAGGTAAAAATGACATTTTTAATTCTTCAGCCTCCAATTTTGTAAACAGACATTATCCTTGTAAACTCGTTTAAAGACAAAATGTGGGAAGGTTTTGCTTAAACTTATTAAGCAATGAAACATCAGCAGTTCCTGCCTCCCCTCTCTCTATATGATGATGTCAAAATGGGTAAGAAATGACACCATGTCCCACAGATATCGTAACCAGTGTAACTGTGTCCTGGTGTGTGGTTTCCTTGGCGTATGATAGAGATTATTTAAACAATTATTTCCTTGGTGTATGATAGAAATTATTTAAAAAACAGAAACATGAATGAAATAAGAGCAACTGAACTAGTTAATAAAAGCAATATCTTATCAATTTGAGTCCAGAATGCTCATAACAATATGTTACATTCTGTGATCAGTAAACATTTGTTTGGAACTTCTGTGCACCAGAAACTGGGGGTTTAAAGATGGGGGCTGGGCACAATAGCTCATGCTTGTAATCCCAGCACTTTGGAAGGCTGAGGTGGGAGGATCACTTGAGGCCAGGAGTTTGAGACCAGCCTGGGCAATATAGACTCAGTTTCTACAAAAAATATTAGCTGGACGTGGTAGTACTACCTATCTACTAAGGTGGCTTGAGCCCAGGAATTGGAAGCTGCAGTGAGCTATGATTACACCACTGCATTCCAGCTTAGGCAACAGAGTGAGACCCTATCTCTAAAAAATAATAAATAGAAAAATAAAAAATAAATAAATATTAGAGAAACAGGGACCCTAACTTCAAAGAACTCTCAGTCTAATTATACTCATGACTGCTTCTCATCTCCAGACACTAATGTTGTCTTGTTTCCATTGTTTCCAGATAATCTTATGTGAAGATTTGACAGGTAAATGTCAGCTAAATGGTTTATTGGCTAGTTACTAATTAGTAACCAGCCTGACAATAGCTATTTTGGGAATTATGAATAATGTTTAGGGGAAGTTCTGAAAACTGGCAATCAGTACTGGCCTATAGGTATTTGTATTTGGCATCCACGGTGGTTTTTTTTTTTTTTTTTTTGTCTGTTTGTCTGGTAATATCTTTATTTACCTCCAACCTTTTCATTAAATTTGGGAAGCTTTGGGACATTTCTTCTCAATCTCTTCTTCTGCTCAGCCAGGTGATATTTCCCATAGGTCCCACCTCCAGCTTTCTGTATCTTTGAGAGGTACCTTAATTCTTTCTTTGGAGGTCTACTTCTGAACATCAGTAGAGACCTTAAAGGGACTTTTCTTAGCGTTTCTCTCCTGTCCCTGATCTTCAGTGGTTTCCCCCTTGTACTTGGGGAAGACCTGCATGCCTCAGCAGACCCTGCCTCCTCTCCTTCCACTCCCAGCCTTCAGTATACTACCTGCATGCACTTAGTGAAGACACCATTGGTGAGATGATGCAGACTTGTTCTGTGGCTAAAGCCCAGAAATTTAATCCATAATCTCAACGGATAGCCATTAAAAGTTTGTTAAAAGTTTGTCTGGTTCCTCCTTACTGCTGTCTATGGTAGATTCTCCCTTCTCCTGCTGCTTCATCAGGGATGAAAGTAGCTGTGCATCTCTTCTGTCCTAGGAAGGGCTTATCACCTTATTTAGGTTTCTTTGTGCTTCAATTCCTGGATGGTTTTAATTTTAACCTAGTTTAGCCAGCTTGTTCTAGGGTGAACTTCTGACATCCTTATGAAAAGCAGAAGTCCCCCACAGTGTCTAAAAAATTTAAATAGTTGCCAGCACTAAAAATGTTAAGATTTACATAACAATCTTATTTCTGGCTTCTCTTGAAAAATGAGAAGTTCTAGCAAGAGAGGGCCTAAATTTCATAGCAACCGTAAGTGGAGTCAAATAATATCTGTCCCATTCCTATGAGGGAGATATGGCATTGATCTATTCCTTTATAGAGAATGCTTCATAACATAATTTGATATCTAGGCAGGTAGAAGCAGAAAGATACACTATAAAAACTTCTTTGTTTAGGTTCATACAGCATTTTAAGTCAGGCCATTTAACGAGCTCTTAGCACGGTTTCCTGATGTGACAATGTTCCTCTTGATCTTTTTCAAGTACAATGGATTCCTAAATCCTTCTTGCAGGTTCATTAGTGTTAAGATTTATTAATGAAGGCAAACTGTGCCTTTCAAATTATCCTTCAAGTGCAGAGAATTGTTGAGATGTATTCTTTCCAGAGTTTGTAAGATTTTCTGATGAATCTTTTTAGTTTTAAAGGCTTGTTTAGTGTGTGTGTGTGTGTGTGTGTGTGTGTGTGTATGCTTCTTTTCAAAAATAGTCTGAATCATTGAAACTTTTTTATTATTTGAAGGGGATGGAATAGGACTGATTAAAAGAAAAGAAAGTAGTGAAATACATATTTAATAAATCATCAGCAAAATACTTAAAATTCATGGAAATATATTCACTGATAAAGAAATTATACTTTTAGTTTAACATTCACTTGCAGTATGTGTCAAGGTCCACTCTGTATAGAATCAAGTCACTAACTTCTTCTATTCTTTTCTTTGTTCCTTTATTCCTTCCAACATCCATCTGCTATTTGTTAAGCACCTTGCTAGGTGCTGGGGACTTAATGGAAAGCCAGACAGATCTAGTTTTTGCATTTATGGAATTTGGGGATGTTAAACAAGCAATTACACAAAGTGTGTGAAGCCTATATGCATTTGATTTTTGTTTATTAAAACTACAAGCATGATGGTAAAATATGTAGAAATTAATAATTCATTTCATGTCTAATTTGAGAATGACTTTGAGATAATTTTTTTTCCCTCAGTCTTGTCTCTTCAGGAATACACATTTGAACTGTATAAATTTCATTAGCCAAAATCTTTTAGGGTGTCATGAAATGTGGTAAATATAGCAAAATAAATTATTTTAAAAATGATGTTCTATATACCCCTAAATATTGTTCTTTTGAAAGAAGTCACCTTGAAGAAAGGTCTGTTATTCCAATGAATACAATCTTGGATTTCTTTTCTAAGAAAATTCTCTTGAATATTCTGAATGGTGAAACATTTTCCTTTGTGGAGATAGATGAATTTTTGAAATAAGCCAAAAGTATCTTGGCTATCACATATTCTCCTAAATATTCTGAGCGGCAGCACATTTTTATTTGTGGAGGATAGATTTAGTTCTTGAAATAAGCTAAGAGTATTTAAAATTCAGACCTATTGAATAAGACAGGAATCCATACTATTTGCGGGGATGAGGTTGTTGCTGTCTCAAAGCAGCTGTGACTATGATGTCTGGAGGGTGTGTCTGGTTAATCAGCTCTGAAGATAATTCTTCAAGAAGAGCTCCACAAACTATTTAGTACACAAAAATATACATCAATAGGCCTGCAACATTATGATGTTGAAGAAAAACAATCATTTGAGTAGATAAATTTTTGTTTATCCAGAAAAAATCTTATTAGAGGAAATTGACAACAAAAATAGTTAAAGCTGTAAAAAATATGTATAACTTAATAGTTTCTTTGGTAGCATAATATGGTATTATGCATGTACAACAGCTTGTAAAGTGAACTATACTTCTTTGTACCTGTTTGTATTTATAATATAAAAATGGCTTATTTAGATATGTTGCTTCCAGATTAAAAATATGCTATGATTCAATTCTAAATTATATGACATTTTCTTGAGGTACTTATGGTTTATTTGAAACTTTATGTATAGAATGCCTTATTAAAATAATCAAGGTTTTGTACAAAAGTTCGGAAGAAAGGCAGGACACAAGTGAATTACACATAGTAAGTTATTCAACCAGCTTTGAATAGCTGTCTTTGGCTGAATTAATATTTGATTCATCAGAAGCAAATGACCAAACAAAATGGCATGGGTCTTGGAGCTAGAGAAACCTAATTTAGAATCCTACTTTACTGCAAGCTAATTGTCCATGGCCTCAGACAATTTGTGTCCTGTTTTCCGTATATATACACATAATATATATAAGATAGATAATGTCCATCCTGTTGTGTTAATATATGTAACATACCCAATGGGCTCAACAAATGGCAGTTATTATTAAGAGATAATATGGGAAAATTGAAATTTTTTTACATATTGTAATTTTCTTATAATTAAAAGCACATTTGCTAATACTACTGTCATTTTACATGACATTCATAACTTTCTTTTCATCAGCATCTACTGTGGTGCTGGTTGCCAATCAATGGAGATACCCAAACCGGGAGTGTTGGTGCATACTTACAGTCCCAGCTACTGCTTGAGATTAGGAGTTTGAGACTGTAGTGAGCTATGATTGTGCCTGTGAATAGCCCCTGCACTCCAGCCTGGGCAATATATCAAGACCCTGTCAAAAACAAACAAACAAAAAAGCAATGAATATACCCAGTAGTTTTGGAATTTGTGAGTTTCCAACTTAGAACATAGGACTAAGTCCCAAAAGTGGCAGTTGACAGTCACTATAAAGGAGAAAGTATTCTTCTTGGAGAAACTTCTTCTAGATCTTTTTTGAGATCTAAAATAGGGCTATCATGAAACCTCGTTACAGGCAGTTCTAATTCGCATTAGCATGTATTTGTGTATACATATGTGGGCACTCTAAAATTTTCTTACTGTCTGACTTCTGAATCAACAATGTTATTGCTGCGCTCCAGGAGCACAGTGTGATTACTTTGCTTTTGTAATATATCCATGAGCAAGAGCCAGATGTTCAAATTCACCTTTTTTTTTTTTTTTTTTTTTTTTTTTTGGCTAAAGAGATTATCATCCCTGAATATAATCTCAAAGAAAGTTCCTGGGCCCTGCTCCAATAAGAAAAAGTCTTGTTTCTCTTTACAAAATCAAAGGAAAGGGCTTTTTATTATATGAGAAGTATAACATTGCATTCCAGTAGAGGAAACAGGCAATCACCTTTTGATCCCTAATGTGGATACCCAAGTTTGTAAATTTAATAAAAAGATAAAAAATGTGGTGGTGTTTTTATCTCAAGCAATAAACTCTGATTAAATCTTGCCAGTTTGATGCTAACAGTCTTCCTGGGTAGCATGAAGGTGAGTGAAAGCTTTGGACAAGATAATAGCAACAGACAAATGTGAAAGAATATGAAGTTTTAAAGAGCCTTTCAGAACACTAAAGAGTTTAGGAAATTAAAGTAATCAGTATGGCTTTTCATGCTCCCGTGTAGGCTTAACTGTCTAGGTTCATTCACTTCTCTGTCATGGAGTAAATCTATCTCCACCATTGTAATGACTATTTCTTAGTCTGTAATGATTATCTTTCATGTTCCTTTTTATTATTATTTAAAAAAATAAAGATGGGCCAGAAAGTAATATGCACATTATCTGTTGAGCCTAACAAGCTGCCAGTCAGCTAAGCCTCATTGCTCTTATAACTAAAGAGGTAAGTTTGGGAAAGGGAGGATGTGGACTGGAATTTTTAACAAGGTCTTGAAAATTTATCATCATGTTGAGCAGAAGCTATAGCATATAGGAAAAAATAATAATTACTATGAGGTATGTAACAATGCTTGGCTATGCAGACACATCTTTAAAATGTTAACGTGATAACAGTGGTCTGAAAAGTCAGAAACTTTAGATGGCATGCTTTGTATAATAGATATTGAGTGCAATTCAGTCTAGTTATGCATGTTTATACAAATGTGTGGAGTATGGTAGTAGGGTCTTTAGTTAGAATAAATTGTAATTAATGTTGAGATTAACTTTATTTTATGTCAATTATGTTTCTTAGTTTATCCCATATTCATGATGATAACATTTTGATAAAGAAGTGAGGATTTTGCATTATGGTTGTGGATAGGAAGCAGTGCTTAAACATTTTGGTTTTGCCTGGTTAATGTTGATAGCAATTAAATAATCCTAATATGACTTAAGTTAGGTATGGCTTATATTTTTGTTATCTAGATATTAAATTGAGCTGGCTTCTTTTAATGTTTCATGGTTGAAGTTATATTAAAACATATTAGTTTGGCACAGCTTTCAAAAGGGCACCCTCTGTTAGATAAAGGGTGCCATAATAGCTTCTGGAATGATCTATTATTTTTGGCATATAAAAAGAGTTATAATGCTGTTCGTTAAAATTTATGTTTCATAATAAAATGAATAATTCATTCACTCATCCACTGACAAGCAGAATACTTAAATTAATGTCTCAAAGTAAAAAATCAGCACCAAACCAAAAAGCTAGGGTTGGAGGTAGAGAAAGAAGCCTGGCTATTAGGATATAATGCATTTTCAGAAGATAACCATAATATAAAATGAGTCTGAAAGTCATTTATAAAGAACAGGATATTAAAAGCTATAGGAAAAAAAGGCCATTTATCTATTTGTGTACTATTTTGAAGACTTGAGCCAAATGTTTCATCAGTGATTTGGGCGCCTTCCAATAAATTGGATGGGGTTTATGTGTGTGTGCAGGGTGGGGTGGGAAAGGAAGGTGGGCAACAGTCTCTTTTTCCTTTGAGCTTTGTTTATTTAAGCCTTCATTCAGTAATTCAGCAAATGCCTACTGAGCAGCTGATATGTATAAGGCAAGCTGCCAGGCACTACAATTTATATACAAAGATATCTAAAGCATAATACCTGAGTTCAGAAGTTACAAGTGGAGATGACATATCTAGATGAATTTAAGATAAAATTAGTTTTAAACATAATTCTGAAGTAAATTATGGAATGAAATTAATTTGTTAATGACTAAGGATGAGTAAATAAATCTCATCCACTGCCTCCTTTTTACAAAGCATCATCATCATCATTATCATCATCATCATCATCATCTGATCATTAAGGATAACAATAATAGCCAACATGTACCATTCTGTGTGTTTACATGTATTTATATGTACACAATAACCCTATGGTGCAGGCGCTATTATTATCTCCATTGAATAAATGGGGAAACTGATGGACGATAAATTATGCAACCTGCTCAGGATCATACAGGTAGTAAGGGTAGTCAGGGCTTAGCTCCAGAGCCCAGGGTTTTAGCTATCAGAAATTACACACATGCAGGCATTGCTGTCAACTCAGAACCAATATGGCATAATTCCCTGACAATATCTAGTTGGCATTCTAAGATGTCAGGATTGTGAGGATATTTTCATTTTGTTTTCCAGATTTCTTTAAAGTTGTGAATAGAAATTTCATATAGTTTGAAACAAGTCAAAGAGCTCAGGCCTTGGTTTAGAAAAGGAAATTGTATGAGTATGACAGATGTTCTGTTGTTGATATTTGAACATTCACATTTACAGAGAATCTTTATTTCCTAAAACTGATGTTTATCAGGGTTAGTCAAGACAGTCACAAATCAAACAGAGGTTGTTTCTGGTTAGCTAAGTTCTATCCATAATAAGAGAGTTCTGAACTGGGATCCCTGTACACATGACCATATCACTTTTCAGATCTCAGGTTTTCCATGTGTAAAACAGAATTGAATGAAGTGATCGCCTGGGTCCATTTCAAGCTTCATGTTCTGTGAGTTTATATTTCTTTGCATTAATGAGGCTCATGCAGTTCTAGATTTGATAATAATAATTAAGAAAGGTTTTAGTGGCTGGGTGCGGTGGCTCACGCCTGTAATCCCAGCACTTTGGGAGGCCAAGGTGGGTGGATCACGAGGTCAGGAGTTCGAGACCAGCCTGGCCAACATGGTGAGACCCCGTTTCTGCTAAAAATACAAAAGTTAGCTGGGGGTGGTGTCATGTGCCTGTAATCCCAGCTGCTTGGGAGGCTGAGGCAGGAGGATTGTTTGAATCCGGGAGGTGGAGGTTGCAGTGAGCCAGGATTACGCTCCAGCCTGGGGGACAGAGCGAGACCCTGTCTCAAAAAAATAAAAAAGGTTTTAGTGAGAAAAGTCAGCAAAATTTAGACACTTAGAAAATAGCTTTACATGAGCTGTTATCTTTTTTCCATTGACGGGTAGCTTTGGCCAAGTCAACCAGTGTACATTGCACAAATAAATATATTACATTGCATTTCTTACAGACTTAAAATAATTGCTTCTATTCAGAAATAGTGTTAGTTTTGTTTAGTCAAGGAGTTAATTATCATATTTCAACATTTGGTTACAATTTCCCATCTTTTGACTGTGACGCAAAGTAAAATAAGTTTCCTAGGAAGGCATGCATAAGTTCCAACAATAAAATGCTAAAAATAGAAAACACTAAAAAATGGAATAGGCAGAATTGACGTGATTATGTGTTCATTTCATACCTCTTGTAGAACATTGTAAAAACTTAATGTTCTTATATTTCACAGATTTGTAGACATTTTTGTTCTAAAGACCTTCAATATCACTTTTCTGAGCCAGAAGTCCTGTCAGGTAATTTCCAATGCCTGAGAATTTTTACTGCCTAAGGTGTGTGACCATAATATTTTAATATGTGATTGCAATTTCCTAGTTAAGAAATGGCTATATTAACTATATTGACACAGAGGTGAATTTACCTACTCTTTGAAAAGAAAGCCTGAGATCTTAATAACTTGATTCTCTGTCTGATGTGTGTCACGGATGAATCATCCCTCCCATGAAACATGCACAATTAATTTACTCCCATGGAGAAGCAGTTTATGATAAAAACCAGTAGCTCCAGTTCTTCTTCCTAGCTCTCTGTCCTAGGGCAAGCCATTGACCTCTCAAACACCATTTTATTTTCAACTATGAAATGGAAATTGTTATCCTTAAACCTACCCTAATTTCTTAAAAAGCAACTTTGCTTCATTGTTTATGAACAATAACACATTTCTTGTGACTCATTTTATGTATGATCACAACACATGAGTACAAGTGGATGCTTTGGATGAGAACTGATATTCTAGATGGAGACACAGACTGGAAGGGTCATAGGAAGTGAGTAATCTCACTCCCTAGACAAAAACTTTGCACATCAGGATCTAGAAAATGGAAGGCTGGAAGTTGGGGGCTTTTTTTTTTTCTGATTTTGATGTGAACCAATGTCATTTAGAAGAGAAAATTGAAGCAGCAAAGTGTAAATTTTTAAAAGGCATATTATTATTTTTTAAAAATAGTAGATGTAAGTTTCAGTTTTTTCTAACTCTGAAGATTCAGGACATTGGAACCTACTATTCCTTCTGGGCTTTGGTGAATTTCATTTCTGTTTAGGAAAGTGGAAGGGGAGAAGTTAAGGCCTCCATCCTTGATAGTTTAGCCTCATATTCACTCTCAATTCACAGGAAAGTTGAATAGTCTCAGACTGATGTTCCTATTTCTGAAAATGTACTAATCACTTGATATGTAATCATATAAATTCCCACCTCCACATATTCCTACCTGCACACTCCTACCTCAAACAATTTTTCATTTACCCCACTACTTTTTAGGCATGGGTTAAATAACAAGAGAACCCTACGTATTACCCCATTTGAGAAGGCAAGTCTGTCCAAGAAAGAATACGTCCATCTATGGTGGAAGCTCAAATGATTATTTTTCTCATACATTGAGAATTTCTAATTTACATTCAGGGAAACGTTTCCAATTCACTGAAAACAGATAACAAAAAATAAAGAAGTAATAGAATGTAATCTTCACTTCAGTTTTCTGGAAGTTTATATATATATATATATGTATATACACACCCACACATGTATATATTCTTATTTGAGGTATAACTTATAAACAATAAAGTGTACAAATCCCAAGAGGACAACATGCTCTTTGCATAGACATATTCTTTTATAATCACCACTCAGACCAAGGCACAGAAGATTTCCTGCCTCTCTCCCCCTACCTCCTACTCCTTCACAGAGGTAAGCACTTTTCTGTCCTTTACCACCATATATTAATTTTGCCTGTTTTTGAACTTCATATAAGTGTAATAATATAATATATAGTCTTTTACATTGTGCTTCTTTTCTGCTCAACATTATTTCAGTGAGATCTTATTCATGCTGTGGTGTGGAGCAATAGTGTGTTCTTTTTCACTGCTGTGAATTATTTCATTGTATGAATATTCTACAACTTAGTTATTCTATTATTGATGGACATTTGGGTTGTTTCCTACTTTTTAGCTATAAATAGTACAGCTACGACATTATAGTAAATGTTTTTGGTGAACATTTTTGGTGAACATAGCACCAAGGGTGGGATTGCTGGGTCATAGGATAAACACATGCTTAGATTTAGTTGATGGGCCAAAAGTTTCCCAAAGGGCTTATACCAGTTTACAGTCCCATCAACAGCAGATGGGAGTTCCACATCTTTACCAACATTTAATATGTTGAGTGTAGGTGCTCTTACAGCATTTTAGATGGTGTGTGGAGATATTTTATTGTGATTTTAATTTGCATTTCTCAACCAACTAAGCATGTTGATCTCGCTTTTGTATGTATATTGGCCATGTATTTCACTTTTGTGAATGTCTGATCAAGTATTTTCCACATTAAAAAAATCTGGGTTGTCTTTTTCTTTTTGATTTGTAGTTTTTTATATATTCTAAATATGAGTCATTTTATATATATATATATATATATATATATATATATATATATATATGGCAATTATTTTTTTCCAGTCTGTTGCTTGCATTATTATTTTTTAAAGTCGTCTTTCAAAGAGTAGGAGTTTTAAATTTCATGCAAAATAATTGATTTACCTTTTCCCTTGTGGTTAATTTCTTGCTTTTTTCCAGTTAAGAAATATTTGCCTATCTCAAAGTCTTGAAGATATCTATGCTTTCTTCTGAAAGATAGCTATGCTTTCATCTTTTATATTTAAGTATCTGATCCATCTCTAATTAATTTTTGTGCATGATGTAAGATAAAGGTCAATGTTTCCCTTTTTCCATTTATTGAGAAGACTGTCTTGTCCCCACTGGATTGCAGTGGCATTTTTATTATAAATCAAGTGACCATAGCTGTGTGGATCTGTTTCTTGGCTCTCCAGCATGTCTCTTTGGTTTATCTGTCTACCCTTGAGCTGAAACCTCACTGTCTTAGCTACTTTTGTTTAACAGTAAGTCTTGAATTCTGGTTCCAAGTCCTGCAGCTTTATCATTATTCATTTTCTAGACATTCCTGACTATTCTAGGCTCCATATATTCACTGAAGAGATACTTGAAAGCTCTACTTTTGAAAGATTTTTAAATAACTTTTTGGGAATTAATAAATTTTTCAAAGCATGGGATTGACCTTCAAACTCATTCTGATTATAAGATCTTTGGTGAATTAATGGATCATTAAGATCTTAATTTCTGCAGTGATAGAATAGGACTAAATAATTTCCATCAACCTCCTTGGATTGCTGTATGGCTAAAACACAAATGATTATAACTCTCTTGAATTCAATACTAGTGAATTAGTGCCCTTAATTTAGGGAGGGGAGTTACCTTAAGGATCACCTGGCTCAAGTCCTTTATAACAGAAGTGAAAAACTGTTAAGGTAGGTGATTTTCCCAATGTCTGTCTCCTGATCCACAAGTCACGTTTCTTTCTGCTAAAGCTTGCCATCTTTTAATCAAACCTACAATATTTTAGGAAACATTTGTCTTGATACACATGTCTTGTATCTATTGGCAGAAAGAGATGTGTGACCTTAAGAATGTTAAACTTCAATAAAGAGGAAAACAGTTTATAAGAACTGTTCCTTTGTGATGTAGAGAGATGCTTAATTAGCTAGAATGTCATTTAAAATTGCAGTGTAAATCTTTAAAAAATTAATCCCAAGTCCCCATGAATTATGTCTCCTCTGATTGTGCGCTCCAAAAGATTTTAAATCAGCAAGGCACATCTTGATCTAAGAACCATGTTAATGTTTGCACACTCTCCACTTTCTCATTTGCTTCAAGAGAGGAAGGTTTCTCCTTAATTCCATTTACAACAGCTGGATTTTGGAAGACAAACATTAACAATCTACAATTAAAAATCATTTCAGCTAAAGGGAACCTGAACAGATGAGGAGCATCATTGACAGTGGATTTTCCCCACTTCCTACGCTCTCCCCAAAACACTGCTTGTTTCCCTTCCCTTTTATTTTATTTTAATCACTCTTCTGAGACATTGTTGGGACTGACTCTTCATCAAGGTGTCCAGCTGAAAAATGGTTATCAGATCCTGCTGAGGCAGGGACAGAGGAACAGCAGCTCACATCGGCTGCAGATGTGCAGAGTGGTAACTTTGGGAGGCAATGATAATTAAAGAGCATATGGTCCATAATAAATCTGTACAGTAGTGTTAGCCTGTATTAATCGAGGGATTAAGAGTAATAGCACATCCTTACAAATAGCATGTTAAATCTCAAGTTACAATTCCTAGGCTTAACATAGGTCTGTGTAAATTTGGTGTTTTTCTTATTCGATATAGCATATGAAGTGTGAGAGATTTATGATATAATTTGTGTACATGCACCCTGATCAAAATGGCTGAGAAGGGCCTGATAACACACAAACATCTGGAGATACAGATGTCATTCCCGTGAAGCTGAAGACTGCCTGGGGTGGGGTGGGGGCAGTAGAAACGTATGATTGTGAGGGAAGCAGGGCTCAGAAGTGCCAAGTTTCACATGAGTTTGATAGAAATGTGTTATGAGTGCTTAACACTGTGATTGATAGTGTTTGACGAAGCAAACTATCCCCTAAGCCTATGCATGCCTTTTTGTTTGGTTTTCAGATTCGTTCTTTACTTTTACTCTTTTTTTTACAGTGGTGACTTTTACTGGGAAAGGCATTGAGTGTCCAGGTTTGGATAACAGAGGCGACTCTTTTGGAACAGGGAAAGCTGTGGTGAAGAAGGCAAGTCATATCCATGTTGTGTCCTGGCCTGATAGGAGGTTATCAGCAAGAAAGGGAGAAGTGTGTATTTCCTCGTTCACTTATACGTTCTCAATGTCTATCTATTAATACCCTCAAACCAGTGACTTTCATTCATGTTTATAAATAAAATTATATATATGAATACCCTATCAAATTAATAATGATTATTTCTGTTTACTGGAATTATGGAATATTTTTCCTTCATTTTGCTGATCTAAATGTTCATTGATGATTGAGATAACATGTTTTTCAGAAGAGAAATATTAAAAGCACAATTTTTCTTGAAATGAATGTCTTCACAGAAGTTCTGGTTTTGAATTCTTCTGTCTTTAACTGACCCCAGTGGCTTCCTTCTGGTTTCATCAAAGTCAAAGAATGACTACTACTTCTTTTCTTTTCCTCTCATCATTACCAAGTGAAAATAAACTGAAACATGATTATTCTTGTCAGCTCAAACAACATACTTTCTAAGTAGACTAGAGTAGAATAGTTGAGCCTGACAACTGTTATAAACCAAATGAGCAAAAATATGTAGGACCATATGGTAAAGGATATACATTTATAAGTTAAAGAAATATGTCCACTGGGAAATCCTAGGGGCTGGGCCTTGGAGTTTCCTGAAGCATCCTCCATAGATGAAGATGCATCACCTCAATGTTAAGTCAGTCAACTCTCTTCTAATGGATCAATAGCCCACTGGCTGAAGATTTTTGAGAATAGTTTAAAAAATTCATATCTTTTGGCTGGGCACGGTGGCTCATGCCTGTAATCCCAGCACTTTGGGAGGCGGAGGCGGGCGGGTCACCTGAGGTCAGGAGTTTGAGAACGGCCTGGCCAACATGGTGAAACCCTGTCTCTACTAAAAGCACAAAAATTAGCCAGGTGTGGTGGTCCGCACCTGTAATCCCAGCTACCCGGGAGGCTGAAACAGAATTGCTTCAACCTGGAAGGCAGAGGTTGCAGTGAGTTGAAATTGTACCACTGCACTCCAGCCTGGGTGACAGAGCGAGACTCCATCTCAAAAATAAATAAATAAATACATAAATACATAAGTAAAATAAGAGTAATGGTTTACCCCAGTGTCCTGGGCCAGGCGTTTGGAGGCTCAGATGAAAACCTTCTGTCAACTCCCAAAATCCTCTTTATAGGATCAAAGTATATGTGCCATCTCAGTAATATAAATTTATGTATATAATAACTGAATGCTCTATTCATTCGTTTGCTGGATGTGATGTTGCATTGGGAATACAATGGATAACAAAAGCAAAGTAATTAAGGCAATATTGAGTTTCCCTTGCAGAGCAAGAGCAGATGATTATATTGCCATAACCTTTGGAGTCGGACAGTAACCTTAGCTGATCAGCAACTCATTTTTCACCCGATGTCATTCTGTTCTCTTCTGGCCTCCTCCTAACCATACTGTAGATGAATAGCCATGCTCCTAGATTTACTGTTCTGCCACTGACTGAGGAAGCAGCTGCTGATGCTGTGATGATGCATGCAGTCTAGGGATGCCAGGCTTTTACTTCTATCAGGGACATTTTTTCCTTATTGGTTTTTAAATAAGCAATTTTATATTTCATACTGGCAGTGCTACATCTCAGCCTGAAGAAGGGCTAATGGCCGAAAATATTTTATGTGAGTTTCACATGGGGGCATATTCTACCATCAAAGGAGCTTAATTGCTATGATGGGAAATGGCTTTGGCATGGAAATGCCAGGGAGCATTTTTGAGTTCCTCTTGAAACAAAAAGAGAAAAAGAGAATCAGACAGACACAGAGAAGCAAACACATATTGACAGATACACACAGTAGGTAGTACACTCAGTTCTATTCCTGGTACCAGAAGGAGTTCTTTAACTGGATAGAGACAACAAAAAGGGTTAGCTAACAGAAACCATGCATGTACTCTGGATGATCTACATGGACTATTATGTGGTCATCTTAAACATATAGATGTACCTATGTGTATACGCATATGTGTATACACACTTAAAACCATATATGTGACACACAGAGTAGTAGAATTAAGTGTAGTTCTGATTTTTAAACTATGAATCCTTATTCTGGTAATGTAATGAAAGTTATGAGAGTGCTGTTTCTCTTCTTTGTGTTGCTTATTTCCTCTTTCTTAGACCTATGTTCATATCCATGTGTCAGAAACTAATTGCAGAAAATCCTTGGCCTCTCTGTTGAGAATGAAGTTTATAGTCTTAGACAACTTCATTTTCCATAGTGTTAGACTTTTCTGATCCTATTTGCTACTATATCAATCTATGTATTTATAAGACCTTCATGAGTTGAAATTCTAATTCAATGCATGACTTACAAAACTATCTGTTGGGTAAGATTTTATAAAACATCTCTGTTGTAGTAATAAGAAGGTTTTCTTTGTGGTCTGTTGTTTGTTCTATCAATGATGCTTTAGCTTTTGGTTGAAAAAGAACAAATCCCCACCTTGGCATATTGTTGCCTGGAAATTTGTCTCCATTATTCAGAATTCTTAGGTTGTGGCTATTTTAAGTATCAAACTATCAGATGTCACCTCCAATGTTATCAACTATGTTTAAGATCATGTAATTACTGCTTTGTTGAAATTTTGCTGCATAAATAAAAAGAGTTACTGACAGCACCAGATATGCAGGTACAAAAATATTTCCTTTCTTATTAAGTATAAGAATGATACTTTTAAAAAGAAAATATAAATCTAATTTTATATCCCCCTAAAATGTTTAATCATTTGATATTTTTTCAGAACAAATTGCAACAGAAGCGGAATATTGCCTGAAGCATGCACGTGGCACACACAGACACACACGTGCCCACACGATACATATTCATACACACACACACACACACACACACACATCTCCAGAAGTTAAATTCAGATAACAGAAGTGGAGAATTTTCATGGATAATAGGATCTATGATGAATCTTGCAGAGTAAAAATTGAATGACCATGTTGCTAGTGTACTAGATGGTTCCATTATCTGTCCTGCACAGGGAGGAGCAATCCTAAATACTGCACTTATTCTGTCGGCCCCTCCCCGCCAAGATGAATTTATCAGGAATTGATACCCACTGGAGTAGGGGCCATATTTAGGATGAAAAGCCATGATTACATTTTTTCTCAAATTTGAGAAACCAAGCTAAAAGGTCCTATAGACCAGGGAGTTGAAGTTGCCATTTTAGAGCACAAGGTAAGTTAGCAGGAAAAATGAGTGTGTAGAATGAGAAAAAGCAAGGAGATTCAATGACAGGCATCACGTGGCCCTTGAAGAAAAAAGGGGAAAAGAATATCAATCACATGACCTTGATCCAGGACCCTTGAGACACCCCCCCCCCGACCCCCACCGGAGTCATTATTTTCAATATGGCATTGTTTTTTAGGTTTAATTCCTTTCATGTGAAGAAATGGGTAGAAGCTACAAGGAGTCTGAGAAATTCTTCAGCCCAGCACTTGATTTTACAGATTGGTGAACAGAAGTTTATTGAAGTTAAAAACAGAAAACTTGTTCAAAATCACATAGTGACATAATCAGTTCCCCTTCCTTAGCATAGATACATACAATATAGTCCAGAGGAATATTTGTTATCAATAATAGTATCATTTGCAGAGACATGAATACTAATAATATTCTCACTTCTAATCTTTGAAAATATTTCTTCTACAGGTTTTCAGGGAAAAAATTGCTTTTCTGATGGATGGTCTGGAGCATTCATTCACTAAGAAAATGTGAGGCCCTCCATGATCTTTCCCAAGTTATATTTCTAGACTCATCTGTACTAGTCATACTTGGGGACCCTGTGGTCTAGCCACGTTGTTCCCTGAAATCCTGAAATGCCAAGTTTTACTATTTAAAAATGTATTTTATTTACATATTTATATGTATATATATATATGTGTGTGTGTGTGCGTGTATATATATATATAAATATACATGCATTTGCTAATAATATTTCTTTTTCCTAGAACAGCAGTTCTGCATCCTGGCTGTATATTAGAAGTTCCTGATGCCCAGAGCTGTCAGGTCCTGATTTAATTAGTCTGTGTTGTGGTATCAGCTAACTGAAGTATAATTTATGTACAATAAAAATTCATCCATTTAACTATACAGCTTGATGAAATTTGTTAACTGTACAGCCATATAACCACCATCACAATCAAGACTTAGCACAGTTCTATCTCCTTACAAAGTTTCCTTGTGCCCTTTGTTAGTTGATCCCCTCTCCTGACACCTGGCCCCAGCTAACCACTGATCTATCTTCTGTCACTATAGTTTTGCCTTTTCTAAAACTTTATATAAATGAGACCATATAGTGTGTATTCATTTAGATTTGACTTTCTCTACTTAGCATACATTTATGCTTTTGAGATTCATTCATATTGCTGCATATTTTAATATTTTTTCCTTTTTGTTGCTGAGTAGAATTCCATAGTATGGATAAGCCATAATTCATTGATCTTTTTACCAGTCAATGGAGAGTTGAGCTGTTTCCAGTTATTTGGATATTATAAATAATGTTCCCATGGATATCTGCATACAAGTCTTTGTGTGGACATATGTTTTAATATCTCTGGGAGCAGAACTGCTGGGTTACATGGTAAGTAAATTATTGCTTTTATAGATATTGCCATATTGTTTCTCAATATCATTTGCATTTTCACAGTAATGTGTGAGAAGTCCAGTTGTTTCACATTCTCACCAATACTTAGTATTGTTAGACTTTTAAACTTTGGCCATTCTATTGAGCATGTAGGAACATCTCAGTATTAAGTCAAGCATCAGTATTTTAAAAATACTCTCAGGTGACTCTAATATCACCTACATGTTCTCATTGTTCAGCTCCCATTTATGAGTGAGAACTTGTGGTGTTTGGTTTTCTGTCCCTGTGTTAGTTTGCTGAGGATAATGGCTTCCAGCTTCAGCCATGTCCCTACAAAGGACATGATCTCATTCCTTTTTACGGCTGTATAGTTTTCCATGGTATATATGTACCACATTTTCTTTATCCAGTCTATCACTGATGGGCGTTTGAGTTGATTCTGTGTCTTTTCTATTGTGAATAGTGCTGCAATACACATACTATAATGGAATGATTTACACTCTATTGGGTATATACCCAATAATGGGATTGCTGGGTCAAATGATATTTCTGGTTTTAGATCTTTGAGGAATAGCCACACTGTCTTCCACAATTGTTGAACTAATTTATGTTCCCAACAACAGTGTCAAAGTGTTTCTATTTCTCCACAGCCTCACCAGCATCTGTTGTTTCTTGACTTTTTAACGATCACCATTCTGACTAGCAGGAGATGGTATCTCACTGTAGTTTTGATTTGCATTTCTCTAATGATGAGTGATGTCGAGTTTTTTTTTTTTCATTTGTTTGTTGGCTGCATAAATGTCTTTTGAGAAGTGTCTGTTCGTGTCCTTTGCCCCCTTTTTGATGGGGTTGTTTTTTAAAAAATTTGTTTAACTTTTTTTGTAAATTCTGGATATTGGACCTTGTCAGACAGGTAGATTGCAAAAATTTTCTCCCATTCTGTAGATTGCCTGTTTGCTCTGATAATCATTTCTTTTGCTGTGCAGAAGCTCTTTAGTTTAATTAGATCCCTAAATGGTACCTATCTCAAAGGGTTAATATGATCACTGAATGGATTAGTAGTCATATAACATTTTGAACTGTGCCTAGCACATGGTAAGCAGTATGTGAGTACTCACTATTTTTAGAGTTTACTTATGTGTTTCTGCTCTGTGGTGTCCAGGGGTGGTTTGTAACAATAATTTTAAAAAGCTGAGATATTAGAAAGAGAGGGGAGCTTGAGGGAAAAGAGAGAGACTAGGATTACTTTTCCTAATATTGGCTTTGAAAAAACTGAAAATGAAATATCCATTTAACCCCTGTCAGTCCAGTTCTCTAGAGTGAGGCTTCATGGTCTCATTGGAGTGCTCACCCCCTTCAAATCCCATTTCCCCCCAAGGTAAAGCACCAGGACATTCAGCTGATGTCTGACTCTAGAGATTGTTCCCACTTAGTCTGGCTGCTGTCACTTGTTTCATCAAGAGCCAGTTCTGATCTCCAGCCAGTAGATCCAGCTTTTCAGTTTTCTCCCTTTACCAGCTGGTCAGATACTAATGCTTAAAAGCACCCCACTGTCCTGAAGGTGGTATTTTTATTAGAGCAGTTGCTGGAAATTTGGTGAGGCTTGCTTCTCAGCAATTTAGGAACTTTTAAATTTGTTTTACAGTGTATCTTTTCTTCCATGATAGAGAAGTCCTGTTTATGTATTAGAGGGTATACCTTTTCAAAGGAGCTGATTAGGATGATTTCTAGTTGAAATAAATAAAGTATTTCATTGGATCCTAGAAACAATAATCTGACTATACTCAGATCGTATTCATGCTGTGGGAGGAAAGAGCCACTGAGATTATTTGAAGTTTTACTGTTACTGCTAGGGTTGAGGAGAAGAGAGCAGCTTTGAGCAAGGAGACATCTTTCTTCAAATGCCGTATCTCTGGGGCCTGGTGAGGTTGAGGGTATTCCTTTCTTTAAACATTGAATATTTTGCAGCCACCCTATGGTGCAGAATCCTACCAGATGTTCCTGGCCCCTTCTGGCTGGGTCTGGCCACGGTAGGACACAGAGTGCTTGCTGTCCTTGCTGCTCTTGGAAGTCTGGCTGGGAGTTCTCTGCAGGATTAGAATATGGTGCTAATGAGGCCTGGGCCACAAGGTGGATCCAGGTGTGAGCCAGTCACCTTTGCACAGAGAAAAGCTTTGTCCTTTGGTCTCAGTTTGCACCTAGCCCTTGAGAGCCATTCTAAAAATGGGTCAGAAGGGGAACCAGGTGAGAGAATGTTCATGAATAGGGGATTCATTTTCACTATAGGGAAATCAAAGCACAGGACTTAATAAACCCAAGTTTATAGTAACATCTTTATTGGTGTGGGCTAGTGGGTGGTAATTAATAGGAGACAGACACCCAAACCAAAACATGAAGCTACACAGAAGTACCTGCTGCGGACACACATCAGTGGAGACACAGGCCATTTACCCATGCTGTCCAGGAGGAAAACAAGGAATTTAGTTAAACATATACTTATTGATTGAACACCTAATACAGCAAGCCACTCTTCAGGTTGCTGAGTGGGGCACTTAGTGAGTTTCTATTATCAGAGAACTTAATTTTGGCAGGCAGTAGAAATAAGTACACAGATAACTAAAATACAAGAAAGTGTTAGGTGAATTACAAAAAGTACAACCAAAATATAAAGATTCTGGGAGGGAAAAGTCACAATTACAGAATACACCATTGATTAACCCAATATATATTCCCCTCTATTTTCCTTCCTCACTGATTTTTGATTTTATTTAGTATCTGCCATTCTCCACACAATTATGGGCTTCAGGGGAAACTGACCTCATGCCCAGCTTCTGAGAATTTAAACTGATTAGTCTAAGCCAATCCTGGGAATCTCATTATCCCCTCCTGTGCATTATTTAGGAATGGTTATGCAGTCAACTGTAGCCAATAATGATGGTAAGGGAAAGCTTCTAGGGAAAGTTACCTTGCCACCTAGCAAACGGGAGAATGGATCCCTTTTTTATTGGCATGTTCCCAGCACTGGATGTGATGCGTGGTACTGCTGCAGGCATCTTGACATCAGCCTGAGACAAAAGCGAACACGTGGAGAAGCATGGAGTAAGACAAGTTTAACAAGAGGTGAATGTTACACAAGTTGCATTCACCCAGTGGAGGTGAGAAAAATTTTATGCAAAGGCCAACATTCAAGGTGAATATAAAAGGAAAAGTAGAAGTTTGATCATTGGAGTACAAAGAGTAAAATATTTTAGGTGATGGGGTGGTGGTAGTGGGGTGGAAATAGTCCAGGTTCAGAAAAAAAATCAGAAAAAAGGCACAGGGATTTGAAAGTTTAAAATATGTACATTCAGACTAAAATTTGATAATTTTATGCATTTTCATTTTACTGTATAAGGGATATAGACCATTTGTGGAGATTGTTAAAGATAGTTATAAAAAAGGAAAAGAATCAGATACATGAGAGATTAAAATATGCAAATGATAATAAAAGGTCCACACACAGAAGGTTGAAGAGAAGAAAAATGGAGTTTCTAAATCCTACACAGTCTCCAGGTTGGAATATGACTTTCAAATTTCCATGACCAAATGAAAAGGAAACCTGGTAAATTCCATAGATCTCGTTGCACATTTGAAGAAAACATGCTAATTCATAAAGAATATTTATTTATGTGAATATTTATATGGGGGACAATGAAAGATGTAAAGGCTAATATCCTCATCAAATTTTCTACAATTAATTCATCATTGGTTCCAATGCTTTTTTCAACTAAGGGCAAATCAAAGTATATAAAATTCTCAGTGGAGTCTTGAGAAGAGAAGCAGGCAAGGTTAAGTTGGACCATACAGTGCAGAGATTTGGATGACAGGATAAGAACTTTGGAATTCATTCCATAGGCAATTGGAAAATGTGAAGGAGTTTAACTGAAGAGTAACTTGATCACAGCTGATTTCCTGGAGAGTTTAATCTATTAATGGTCTGTAAATCAAATCTGAAGAAGAAAATCATAGAGATAGAGAGGAAAATAATAATATAAGAAGCAATAGGGATAAATAAACAGAAAAAAATGGTTAAAGAATCTTAAGAAAAGACATTGCTCAACTTTGTGCTGGTAAATTTCAATATCTGTCAATAACATGTACAATTTTCAAGAAAAATGAAAAACCAACAGACTCCGAAGCACGCCAAATAAAAAAAGTCAGATACAAAAGTGTATGAGCCTTACTGTATGATTTCATTTATACAAATTAAAGAATATACAAAAATTCTGTAGTGATAGAAATCAATGGTTGCCTGGGGGAGAGTTTGGATTGACTATCAAGAGGTACGAGGAGACTTTTGGGGGTGAAAAATGGTCTATATTTTGATTACAAGCACTCGTTATAGGTGAATACATTAGTCAAAACTAGAACTACGCAGTTTTTTTCTGTACATAAATTATACTTCAGGGAAAAAAAGCACAGTATGACAAAATAAAAACTAAATATAGAAGAGACAGGAAATCTAAACAAACTGGATTCTGTTGAAGAACAGATAAACAGATAAAGCTGTCAAAGAGCTTCTCCAAAGCATTATTAGGTTCTAATGTTTTCACAGGAGAAGTCTTTCAAATCTTTGAAGATCAGCAAATCTGATGCTGTTTGTACCTGTACTACTGAAAGTGTGGTCCTTGGGCCAGCAGCCGATCCATGCTTATAGCCAGCATTGTAACTGGTTAGTGACAGGAATGTAAATCCTGTTATGTAAACTCTTATGTAACTATGTTACATAAGGAATGTAAATCAAGTATGTCACTAAACATGCCGTTTAGTCCAGTTAATTTTTTTTTAAACTAAGACTTTCTCAATGATAGGAATAGTACATGGATTTTCATTCTGGTGCACTCTTCTTATCTTGCTGAAGTTGGGCTCTTTGAAGGGCTCTGGCTTGCACTATTAAAGAATGTGGACATCAAGAGAAAATGTCTGCATCAGTTGTAGTCCCAAC
Organism: Homo sapiens; assembly: GCF_000001405.40. NCBI lineage: Eukaryota > Metazoa > Chordata > Mammalia > Primates > Hominidae > Homo > Homo sapiens. Next base: position 83,988,137 of record NC_000004.12, read on the forward strand.
AGGACAGCGATGGCATACTCATATTAGGGTATCTAAGAAGGTTTAATAAAGGAGCTATTTATAAATGTGTGTGCAGGGCGTAAGGGACCACCAGGAATAGTGTAGCATACCCAACAATTGGCTGGTAACAGGAGAACTAATGCTCCAGTTAGGCCCAAAGGGATGAGGAATGTGAGCGGTTATCAGAACCCAGAAGAGAGATATAGTGCATCATATGATAAAAATAGCGATTTTTCTTTTATTGAGTATTTTATCAAGAATGAATATTAAATTTTGCTAAATTCTTTTTCAACATGTATGCTATAACATCCCCAAAGCAAACACATTACTTATTGAGAAATTATAAGAAACATTCCCATTAAAGAACAAGAGAAACATGCTTGCTATGGCCACTGTTCTTCAACATTGTACTGGAAGTATAAGCCAAGGTGATTAGACAGTAGAAATAAGCAGTATAAAAATTGGAAAGTGGCAGGAAAAATGCATCTTATTTTCAAATAGTTGATTGTTTAATGTAAAACCCTAGAGAATTAATTTAAAACCACTAAACAATCAAAACAGCCACAAAATTAACATATAGTAATCAAATATAAAAAGAACAACTAGTTAGAAGATGTGATTAAAAAAATACCTTCCCACTTACAATAGCGCTAAAAAAGGTAAAACTATCTAGGCTAAACAGGAAATATGTAAGACCTAAGAAAACTCAAAAACACTCTTAAAATGTACAAGATCCAAATACATGAAAATGCATACTATATTTTTATATAAGAATGTTTAACATTATAAAGATGATAATACTCTCTATTTTACAAATTAAAACACTCTTGATTATAATAAAAATGCCACAGCTGCTTTTTTTTTGAGGATGGGGCAGAAGGAGGGAGCTGAAAAAGATGATCCTAAGTGTCATATGGGAAAATAAAACAATTCCAGGAATACTCTTAAAAAATGAGTACTGAGAAAAAATATCATACCGATATTAACATATATTAGAAAGTCTCAAAATTTAAAGAGTGTACTATTGGACTGTGAAAACGAAACAGAACAAAATAAAACTGGCCAATAAAATTGAATGGAAAGTCCTAAATAGACAGAAATGCATATAGCAATAATATATGAAAATGGTGACATCTCAAATACAAGGATGAAAAAAGGTGCTCTCAATACATGTTTTGGCTAGTAAACTAAAAATAAAATCCTAAGCCTCCCAGCTGACTGAGTGGACCCTATCTTGGCCAAGGGGACCCCTGAGAAACCTGAAACACTGAGTTCTTGGCTGTGATGGGATGAGAGTGAGACAGCAAGGTGGGAGGGGGTCTCCAAAGAAACTCCAGCCAGCGTGTGCACTGGGAGGAATGCACACCAGGGCAGAGCCTGGGTAAGTTCCTGCCATTTGAAGCAGGGAGGAGCCTGGCTCCTTCTTTTCCTACATGGAACCTGGGATCCCAATGACCGAGCAGGAAGTGCTCTAGCAGAGGGACACTGTCCTGGTGAAAGTCCCTGTTTCCCCCTTTTTACCCAATAAAACCCTGTCTTACTCACCATTTAAATTGTGAGCCTGAATTTTCATGGCTGTGGGACAAAGAACCCCATTTTTAGCTGAACTAAGGAAAAGTCCTGCAACATTTTTGGCACCCAATGTGGGGCTCAAGAGGTGGTGAGTGAAATGGGGACTCAAAACCTCTCACTGTTGCTTCTAAGTCTTTTCATCCTTGGACTTCTGAGGGTGGGGGAAACTATGCCCACACCCTCCGTCACTCCCGGAGATTTTCATGGTCTTTTCCTTCCTTTTTCAGGACCGACGGGCGAGCAGCAGCTCCACACCACTCTCCCCTCCCTGTCAGGGCTGGGACACGTGGTCCAAGGGTCCCACACAGCCAGCTGGCTGTGGTTTCCACCACACACCACCAGAGGCTTCCCCTTCCCCAGCCAAGGGGCTTTACTCCATCAACAGTAATTAAGCTTTTCTCCTGGTGAAGGAACCAGTTGCATAAAATAAGAGGTTCTTCCCCAGGCATTTTTTTTTAACTGTTTTTTCTTCCCCTTATCAACCCCACAGCAGTTAACCTTTAAAGTTTTTATTTTCCTCGTAGATGTTTTCACTAGGCTAGGTCCTCCAGCTGTCACTGCTTGTACTCTCTAAAGCTTTGGTTGTGAAAAAGGATCTTGTGGGGATTGCATTTTCTTCTGCCTGTCTGTGTGTGTGTATTGCTTCTGTCTGTCTGTGTGTGTATTGTGTGTAATATCTTTAAAAAGAGCTCTAATTAATTTGGCCTAAAGAAAGACAAGCACTTGGATCAAGTGTTTTTTAAAGGGAAGGTAAAAGCTGTGGTACCTTTCAGTTCACATGACTTTAATCTTTGAGAAGTAAAAACAGCCCTAAAGACTATTAGTAAAATGCAGGTCAGATGCAAAGTTTGCTAAGTGTTTTGAGGTTACAAACTGCTTTTTGGGTTTTGAGAACTATTTGACTTGCTGGCTTCACAACTTGTAAGGCCTGGGGACATATGGAACTAACCACACTCTTAACTAAGAAGGCAAACCTGGCTGCAGTTAGTACACAATTAAAGGAACTTACCAAGTTTTACCTTAAAGTTAAAAATTTCTAGGAGTTATCATTATAACATGTAATTGAGACTGCTGAAAATAGATTTACATGCAAGGTATGTAAAAACAGTGAAATGTGTTTTTTAGTAAAAGGTTATAAGAAGGCATGGAAGTGTAAACTTTTGCCTAGAGCTTAAGGATTGTTTTAAACTAGATAGGAAAAAGTTGAAGGTTCAAAGAAGTGGTGGAAGAATTGTCAAAATTAGTCTTGCAGAAGAGGTTCTCTATGTGAACATATTGACTAAATTTGGAAGGGTATTATATGGTTTTTCTGTAAATTGAGCATTAAAATAAAAGCATAACAAGGTACTCTCAAAATGCTAATCTGCTCTTTGGCAAAATTTATAAAGGGTTATAAAAGGTTTTGCCTCTTTCAAATTTCTGAGTCATCTTTCTGGCAAAATAAATAACATATGGTCATCTGGAATTTTATTTCATAATATCAACTGCTTTAAACATATTTATAAGGCTTCCCCAAATCAAACTTAAGTTTCAAAATTGTCTTCCCTGGCACCTGGATTTTTGAATACATCAGAGGGCCCCTGAAGTATCCAGAAAAGAGAGGTAAACAAGATTATTTGACATGTTTAGGAATGTGGGATTGTCAAAATGATGCTCAATCTTCTTCAGGTTATGTCTTGGTGAATAATGCTAATATATGTTCCACAATTGTATGGGATTTCCAAAATTCTAATGTCTAAGTATATGCTGTGAATCATAATTAAGGTTGTTATGTTATCGTAAACCATGGAGATAACCAAACTTCTCTGTCAATCTTGTTTCTTACTGTAACTACCCTAGATATTTTGCTATTCACAGACAATTGTTGTCTTGTTTTAATCTTTTTCAAAGCTGGTTTATAATGAACTATAGGACTTTAACAGGTGCTCTCAAATACAGGCTTCTGATAACTTTAGAGACTGTTAACATTGGAATGAAGCAATATGTACAGGACTCACAAAGAGCTGAAATGTTCATGAATATCAAGCAAAACCGGAGTTAACTAAATGGACTGAACTCAGGAAGCTGCAGCAAACCTTTTTTACTTTTGCTTGGTACATTGCTGATCCTTGTTTGGTTTTCCAGTGTCAAGGAAACTTATTTTGAACTATTTACAGCCTTTAATAATTAAGTAAGGTATACACTCCTGTGATCAAAATTTGGAGCATATTTGTTTCTCTCTGCCTGATTCCTCTAGAATTTGGAAACTATATCTGTGAATATTCTTATGGCAATATAGTTGTTTGTGTCACTGCAATAAGAATCCATTTTTCTTTTGCAACAGGACACAATTGGAGAAACTGGTAATTTTATCAAGGCTTTGACTGGAAGGGTATGCTTCCCTTAAACGAGTCAATCTTGATATGCAGAGCCAATAAAAGCCCAGTGGGGAAAGTAGCCTCATACCCTTGTCTACACAGTTCCTGTACAGGGTTCCTGACCTGTGGTCAGTAAAGAATGTCACTTTCTAACAGATCTAGGAGCTCCAAGTTTATTATGGGACCTTAAGAGGAGAGGATTACCTAACTCACAGGTATTTGAGGATAAACCCATGGTTAGGCTTGGCTTTAAAAGGTCTTATCTGAGATTCCTTGTGGAACAGACTTCCATCAAAGACAATCCAAAAGGCCTATGTAGAAATAGTTATTCTTGCTACACTTTACGCAAATAATCAGACCAATTATAAGACTAAAGTCTATTTTGCAAACCACTCAGGCCCACGATGATTTTTTTTTTTAACAAACATGAGGACTGCAGAGAGAGAGAAATCTTGTTTCAAAACTTATCATATATTTGTTATTAAATTCTATATTCACTAGTTGTTTTAAAGTTTTTGCCTACATTTTAGACTAACCCTGCTTGTTCCTGTGAATCAACTAGAAATCTTCTGCTGCAGCTCAGAAAGAACAAAAGGGATGGGTAATATAGAAATCTGGATCAATATTCTAGTTCTGAGCAATTATCCTGCAAATCCTGCCAGGTGATGGAATAAATAGGGAATACATAGAATGCCCATCACCCAGAGGTTTCCTTCTGGGGAAAGTAGGACCAAGAAAACTAACCAAAGCCAAGCACCATGCACCCAAATCCTAACAAGCATAACTGTAGCCACCAGTTATCTGGATGTATCAAAAGACATCCTTTTCTCTCCCTTGTTGGAGAAGGACTCAGTTCCACAGTTTCATTTTAGCATTTGGCTTATGATAAGGAGTCCATGCAACCCCCTGAGACATATTTTTGTCCCAAACTTTATTCTAAGCTTCGGGTCAAAGCTCTAGGAAGGAAAACTGGATCTGAGGGATCCAGAGGCAAATGACAACAGAGGTTAAAAGGCACAGCACAGGTGAGCCTGGCTGATTCCTGCCGATTAAGCCAACCCCAAGCTTCCTGTTTTATGAATAAAGGCCACGTTAATATCCGTGGTATAAATGAGGTCTAGGGAACTCCAAGGCTACTGACAGTAGGGGGGATAGAGGCATAGGTGAGAGCAGATAATTCCTATTCTCTAGGCCCTCCCTGTGTCATGGGTGCAAGCTGCTTTTACACTCATGGCAGGACCTACCAAGGTCACCGGGACTCAGGGATGCAAGGATGGAAGAGAGAAAGGGGACACTCTTCCTTCTCTTACTCACTTACCCTGGGTATCTGCTAGGAAGAGAAGGAAATGAGGGACACCTGTTCCCCTCTTTCTAGTAGGGTAGCCATTCATCTTCAGTCTGTACCCCTTTCAAATGCATCCTGAACCACTGGGACTCCTTTGAAAAAACACCTTCTTTTTTCCTTTTTCCTCCTCGATTCTCTCTTCATCAATAGGTAATTGTGTCTCTGTACTATGAGACACTCCCCTCAGATGCATCCTCCAACCTGGAAAAAGTTAATTTCCAAAACCTTAAACTGGTTGGTTTAGGATTGGGCTCACTGGAAGGGAACCCAGAAGCCCAACATCTGACAAAAGGGTAAAGATTTTTTTACCAGTCAGGATTTTGGCCTCCCTCACCCTATGCAAACTGGTAAAAGGCCTCATAATTTTTGAGCTGTCCTTACCTCCCGCTTGTTTCGATTTGATACATGTTTTCTAGTAACCCAGTTTTTCTGTTCTTGCTTTCAGGCCATCAGACTCCAAATGGTCATGCAGCTGGAGTCTCTGACAATGGTCCCTTTTGCTGAGACCACTTAGATAGGCCTCTGAGGGAGCTCTGACTGCCGTTTCCCCTGTCAGCGCCCCCTGTCAGCAGGAAGCGGTTTAGATCGGTCTTCATCCTTATCTTTAATCTAGCAGCAGTTAGATATACTTCTTTAGAGGGGGGAATGAGACAGCCAGGTGGGAGGGGGCCCACAGAGAAACTCCAGCCAGCCTGTGCACTGGGAGAAATGAGCATCAGGGTGGAGTCTTGGGAAGTTCACGCTGTTTGCAGCAGGGAGGAGCCTGGCCCCTCCTCTCCTTGTGTGGAAACTGGGATTTGAACAACTGAGCAGGAAGCACTCTAGCAGAGTGACTTCAGCCTTGTGGGAGTCCCTGTTTCCCCCTTTTCTTATTTTTTACCCAATAAAACCCTGTGTTACATTTAAATTATCTGTGAGTCTGAATTTTCATGGCCGTGGGACAAAGAACCCTGTTTTTAGCTGAACTAAGGAAAAGTCCTGCAACAAGAGATCGGACACATCTCATTATACACCCTCCTTTTTGGAGTTTAGACACAACAACTGACCAGCATTAATGTTAGAATAGAGATCATAAGACTAACAAAACAGACTCTTTGTGACACTGAGATACCAAATTAAAAACGGGACCTAAGGCCATGCCAGGCAAGGGTGAAATCACACACACTTACAGGTCGCTTTGACCCAATGTATTGGTTCACAGCCTTCCTTATCTTAAAAATTCCTTTCTGCTGACTCTAGATTTTTAGAAAAAGCTTTACTCCTTTAACCAATCGCAAATTAAAGAATCTCTGAACTCACCTATGACCTGTAAGTCCCCACTTCAAGATATCTCACCTTTTGGGGCCAAACCAATATATAATTTCTGTGTGTTGATTTATGACTTTGTCTGTAACTTCCGCTTCACTAAAATGTATAAAACAGAGTTATGACCTAACTGCCTTGGGACCACTTAGTTAAGGCTTCTTGGGTTTGATACATAAGGCTGGTCTTGATCTCTGTTCTCTTTTATCCTGCAACACAGATCCTCTGTGACCAGGACTTGGGCTCTATTACTAATTACATGGCTTAGGTGCACAGAAGAAAGAGTCTGAAATAATTTGACTTTTAAAATATCACATGTACTTGATAAATATAAAATATATACAATTATGATGTATCAATAAAAAATAGCAAAAGGTTTTCTACAAGCTACTGTCACTCATATTGGCTCATAATAGACTTGTTTAAAATATTTTACAGAGCTTGGATTTTTCATTAACAGAATGGACATTTGAAAAGAAATTTGGATCTATATCTTATGTCACTTACCACTACAAATTCTAAACCAATCAATTACTTCACTGTGAAACATAAAACATATAAGTACCAGACGAAATGAGAGAATCATAATTTGACTTAATGAAGAACTTCCTCACTATGACTCAAAATCCAGATGCTATAGATTGAGAGATTTGATCCATTGAGAGATTTGAATACATAAAAACTTACTTGTGGCAAAAGACATCATATGTGAAGTCATAAGAACAATAAACTGAGGGAAAATTCACAACTCATATTACAAAGGACTAAGTGCCCTAGTAAATGAAGAATGCCTACAAAACAGTAAGAAAGGTGAAAACACAAGAAAAAAATGGACAAATGATGTGAACATTCACAGTTCACAGAAAAGGAAATCCAAATGGGGCTAAATACATGAAAGAATGCTTATTATCATTCATGTAATCAGAAATGCAAATTAAGATATATAATATATACTTGTATATAAACATAGTATATACTGTATACTATATATAACCTATATATTTTATTATATAATTATGTTAGATTAATTATTATGTTAATTGTCAACTGCTACTCCATTTCTTAGAATAAAACCAAAGTGAGTAGTTGGAAAGAAAGATTAGGTTTATGTCATTATGCATTTTTCCTCTTAGACCTGTGCAATTGTTCTTTTAATGAGGCTATAATTTCCCTCCTAATAGCCTAAGGTTTATGCTGAACTCCAACCTAGATATCAACCAGATATGATTTTACAGGCAATAGTCTGTGGGGTTCTGAAGTGGCTACTGCCCTTTCATAGAGATAAAAATCATGGAGGAGACTATGTTTTGGGGAAAGGCAGCAGAAAAGCAAGACCTGTCAAGGGAGGAGGTAGGATGGGATGAAGGAGGGAACAATCCTTAGGTTTTTAGGTGCAAATAAGACTTGAGGAGTGGTCTTGATCTCTCTTCTCTTTTATCCTGCAACACAGATCCTCTGTGACCAGGACTTGGGCTCTATTACTAATTACACGGCTTAGGTGCACAGAAGAAAGTGTCTGAAATACTTTGACTTTTAAAATATCACATGTACTTGGTAAATATAAAATATATACAATTATTATGTATCAATAAAAAGTTGCCAAAAAAGCAAGCATTACCAGCACATTTCCACCTAGAAAAAAAAATGCTGTGTTCTTTTTTTTTTTTTTTTTTTAAACGTACACTAAAGGAACACAGCAGGTTCCCTTACAATCAGCTCCAGGCCCCTTGTCACAAGGAATGGCTCTCCATCAGCAGCCGGCAGGGAGCCAAAACTTGCATGGAGGGGCAAGCAATAAAATAAAAATCACATTTTCAGGATTTCTTTCCTCTGCTACTGTGGGTCATATTTGATTAATGGACTGCATTTATTTTAAAGGTGTGATTGCACACACGTTACCAATACTGTGCCACTGTGCACTTGGCAGAGGCAGAAAGCTCATTACAAATTCGGAACCACAGTGAAATGTTAGTACATCATTAATATGCGTAGGTGTAGATATCTGTCTGTTGTTTTATAATGCTATTTCATTTATATAGTGCCAGTACTTGACGGATGTAAGAGACTTCATTCCCAGCTAGAGAGATTCCTAAATAAAACTAGCAAGTTATTGCAGAAGTAATCAGACAGAGTGAAGGAGTTCAGGTTCTTGTGTCTCTCTCTATATAAGACCAGGTTTTGAGTTTTGTTTCAAATGTCTCTCTATGTGGACTAGGTTAACTTATTCCTTTCTTTCCTCACTGACAGCTCCAGTGTCAATGAGTCCTACTACACTGGAATATATCAAACTGCAAATATACCTGTTTTTACTTTTCTTTCTTTTTCTTCCTTTAATTTTGTTTAATGTAAAAATACAGTTTGCTGCTTTTTTTTTGTTGGTTCCACCAGCTAGAAAGTAGTCTCCAGGAAATAAAACCTCATAGTGTGTGGAGTCAAGCTGCCTGTGCCCATTTCTATGTAAACAAATGTGCAACCCTGAGTGGGGGATGGTCTAGGATGAGACTGGGTGTGCCTACCTGCCAGTATGAAATGGGACATTCAGAGTCAGATTTAAGTATCTTTAAGTCACCAGTTCACTACCCTACTTACAGCCATCTTGAGCAAGAAAAATTCAACTCCTTAGGATGGTATGCAGAGTATTCAAAGCCCCATCCATCTCTTCATCAACAATCTTACATCTTCACTCTAGCCGGAAAAAGCTCCCTACTGCTTTCGAAAGCACTGTATTGGTCTATGCCGTTTCCCTCTTTTTTGCTATTGCACATGTTCCTTCTTCTATCTAGAATGTAATTCTTCCCCTTCCTGCTTGGTGACTTCTTCCCATGGACTTGCTCTTGTGTGAAATCTCTTGTGAGTCCCTATGTAGACGTGCCCTCTCTCTCTTTCCTATTTCTATTGTGTCTTGATATATAATCTATTATAATACCACATACATCATACAATAAATTCTTTATACATCTCTAACCCTACTAGAATGTGGTTGCCTACAAGGGAGAAAGTGTGTTTGTCATCACTGTATCTCCAATGCCTAGCACAATGCCTGGAAATAATGGACCCTAAATGAACATGTATCGCACGTGTACCCTGTGAACTTGGAAGGTATTTAAGGTAGGATGAGGGAATCCATGAGAATAGCCCATATCAGAAATATTGGATTGTGTATTTGAGATTATGAGAGGACTCTTTCCTTGATTAGAGGCATTCTTAAATAACACCTTGAAGTTACTGCATTAAAACCTATTGCTGTCAATTCCTCCCTTTCTTCAAGACAAGTAGGAGTAGCTCTTCTAGGAATGATTGCAGCAATTCTACTGCTTTGATAAGGAGTCTTAAGATGGGGGTCTCTGGGCAGAAGTTATACACACCTGAAGACTCACTGGTTATACTGAGTTTCTAAATATGGTTGTCTTATCTTATGTTTTTAAAAAAATTAGTTGTCAATATCAAAAATCTGCAGATTTCACATAATGATCTTAAGCTCCAGCTTCTTTTAAAGCAAAACAAACAAACAAAAAACCCATGAAAAACACAAAAACAAAACAAAACACCAAAAAAACCAACAGTAGACATACATTGTCCCATGGTGAAAATCAGATGGAGGACATACACCATCCGTGTGCCACAGACTCTCATCTCTCCCATTTCATCTGCCTATTCCATTATGTTAAATGCTACAAATCCCTTGAAATTGGATAGGGATTTAGTCCATGTGAATTTATGGACATTTTTGAAAGGAAAATTTTCTTGTTTTCATTATAATTTCAAAGAAGAGTATGAATCCAAAAAAGGTTAAAACTAACTAATTTGGATAATATCACACAGGAGACAGCAATTGAGCCAAGAGAAGAGTACTAACTTAAAACAGACAGCAAGTCATTGACTGGGCTTCCATCATTTGTCATATTCTCACGGTTGGGTGGGAAATCAAGTGGGTTTTGAGTAATGGATAAAGCTTTGTTGTTGCCACATTGTTAATGTAGCTAACACACATGCACCCACATGCACACACATATGTATACACGGAAGCACACCCCGAAAGTATAATCCAGAAATAGTATAGCACATTTGGAAATGCCACTCTAGCTATTTTAAATATGAAAACTTCTAAGTGAATACTTGAGTTATATTCCACAGAATAATTGCAGAACTCAAGTCCATTGTAGATATTTATCCAAATTTTAAATTAATCTGGAACTTTGTGAATTTGGTCTTAATTTTAGACATTTGGAAAATCTTGCTATTAGTTGCATATAATTTAATTCCATTCATCCTGCTACTTTCATTATTATTAAAGTCTTTTAAATATGAGGCTAGAATTGGCTTACTGTGCTTACTGTTGCTTTATAGCTTAACACAAGAGTCTTTGTTTTCTCCCTATTTAATAAGTTACATAGTATATATTACTAGTCTACTGGTATACTAGTGAATGTATTACACTGTCTAAACATATTTAAGAGGCAGTGTAATATATTATTAATTTGAAATCCATTTGATTTTCCCAACTTTGATTTAAGTTGCATGATTCAGGAAGGACATTTTTATTCTTTGTTTTGTGAAAGTTCTACTTACTAGAGATTTTTTAGATATCTATGATTGAATTAAAACACAGTAATGACTTAGCTGGAGACTTAAAACTCACTTTTTCTTCTTATCTATAGGTAGACAAATCCTAAGTAATAGATATAAAGGATAAATTCTATATGAAAGAAAAGATAATTTTTGTTTAGTAACTTGTTTCATTATTATAAAATCTTTACTGCTGCAAAATGTTTTCTTAAAGCAGGAATCATTCATGCCAAAGATTAAGCTCATATTCTTATCAATTTATAAATAATCCATGTGATCTTGTCATTATGCCATTTGCATTAGTTGAAAAAAATAAGAATTACATTAAAAATTCATTAAGTTTAAAAATAATCGTAGGAGGCTTGAATTCAGAAGTTTAGGAAATCTTAAGAATAAAAGGGAGGATTGTCAACTAGTTGCTTAACCTGCAATATTTCACTTGAATTTAGACACTTAGAGTGAATCAAAAAATCAAAGGATATTTATTGCTCACTTGAAGTTACATAAAATAACAGCGTGACTTGGATATGATATCGCTTGAGTTTTCTTGGAGATATATAATTTAGTTTTATGGCAAATTTGGTAATGGAAGTTGTCAAGTGACATTGAAGCAGTCTATTAATTCCTATTAAGTTTACTGTGCTGATCTCAGAAGATGAGGCTATTATTATGTATGCATAATAATACATATTTCTTGGAGACTGTTGTAGAAATTATTATCACATCTTCAAGAAAGTTGTTACCCTGTCTAATACTGTCCCCAATTAAATCATTATTAAATTGAGGCATATTCTACTACCCAAATCCATAACAGCTTTTTTGCTTTTAAATGTTGACTAATAAAATAGAAGGTGGTTGGCCAAAAGCCACCTAATGGAACACCTGAGAATTTGTGGCAATGTCTGCTCTTGACTCATGCATACAATTTAATATATTTCATCATATCTAAAACTTCATCAATTATGTCATACTAATATTTTATGTTCCATTAAGAAATAAAAAGTGCTGCCAATTAAACTAAGACACACCATTGATTATAAGACATCTCTGATTTCAAAGACATTAAATATAAAAAGAAAGTATGTCTTAAAATGATAAGAAAAGATATTAGCTCTTCTCAAACTTTTCACTCCAGGTGGCCACTCACTTTCCCTCCAGTGTTTTGGGAAATAGTAATGTAGCCATGTCTATTGAGTACAACTTGTGATACGTGTGTGTGTGTGTGTGTGTGTGTACTGGTAACATGGAAAAAGCTTAATATGACCTTCATGTTAGCCTTTTAGTAACATGTCAGTTACTAAAAGATGTGTTTCTTAGTCTGAGTCTTCTTTAGAAATGTGCTAATTAAAATTAGGTCTATGTAACAGGATGTTCTGAAGAGTAGACTTTTTCTTTCTCTTTCATCAGTTTAAGTCTTGCTTGTTCAGAGACTGCAGATCTGCTTCAGGGGATCTCTATATGCCCAGAGCCCTTGGACCCTTGGATTTAACTATATCAACATGGTTGTATAAGAAGCTGTTCTGTAGAGGCATGCTGCATCTCTAAATGGTGAAAAATGGTACCAAAAGTGTTGCATACACACACACATGAGCATGTGCATGCACACACATGGAATTCAGTATCTAATTATTTAGGGAACTTTAGTTATGTGTCAGCCACTGTTTATACATTTTATAAACATTTACTTTATAAGGTTTAATCTTAATCTTATAATATTTACCACAATCTATGAGGTGGTTACTAGTACGTCTATTTTACCAAAAAGCACACTGAAGCTTAATGAGATTGTTACTTGTTCACACGATACAATTAGCAACCGGTGAAGGCAAGATTCAAACCCAGCTTTGTCATATTCCAAAGCCAGTTGTTGTTGTTTTGACCATTATGATGACTCTCCCAAACAAATTACACTTTTTAAAACATTTACCTTATTCCATTGTTTTATTCCATCTTGTACCAAAAAAGCCTTCAGGTGATAAACCCCCTGCCCCACACATCCTACGCCAAATTATATAGCGATGGAGGAGAGGAAAGAAACAAGTAGAGGGGAAGATGATGATTTCTATGTTTAAGTGTTTTTTTCTTAAACAATAAACTAGAAATCAGGAGTTTATGGTTTGATTTTTCTTCTCCTGTTATCATTTTGGTTAATTGAATTATTCAGTATATCCTGGTATGAATGGTTCTTTGTAACAGTTTAGATAAGCAAGAATTCATCCTTTTTCTGTGTATTCTTTACCTCCTTTGAATTAAATAAATGGTTTCATTTGGAAAAAAGCAGGATGAAAGCTTAGGCCTATTGCCATTGATTCCTCAGTGTTTTCCTAATGTTTTTATTTTATAGAGTGGGCAATCAGGAATACAGGAATCTTTCTGAAGCACAATGGATAGTATTGGATGTGGGGAAAATTGGTGCTACTAAATAATATAGTTTGTAAAATGTCATGGTACAGAATTTGGATGATTCCAGTTCTAAAAAGTTGATGACAATATGCTCATCCTTTTAATGGAAAAATTACTAGGAGGTTCCTGGCTACATAATCCAACATACTGCAGAAGACTTGCTGACTTACGCTTTGTGACAGGCCAGTGAGAAAAATACACAAACTCATACACCAATGTTGCAAATCAATTCTGCGGCAAAGTGGAAATAACTCTTGTACCAATAAGCAGTAAGACCTAGAGGGGAGAAATCCTTTTCTGAATTTCCAACTTGCAGACAGAAAGAGAAGCCATCAATCATGCTAGAGAGCTTCCATTTCAGGGCCATTGTTCTTAAAGACAAACCAAATGAAATCAGACAAGACCAGAATATGCAAAGGCCTTTGGATTTTTCCAGTCTTGGTGCAGGAAGGAAGCAGAGAAAAACAAGACTTTCTCTCCTTTTCTTCTAGATGTGAAATGTGAAGTCCAGCAAAAGCATGCACATAGTCTCAGTTTATTGTCAAATGACCAATTAATCACTCCACAAATGGCTATTAATCATACACATTAATGAGATATTCTCTTTGCTCTGGCAAATACAGATTCTGTGGCAATCCTTTCTCCTTGGTACCGAAAGCAAGCTAAAAGCATGTAGAACTCAATTAATCTTGAAGCAGCATGGGGTGTTTGAAATTGCTCACAGTTTGAAAAGAAGCAAACAGCAAAGACATTTAAACTTGTCCATATTTCACTGTGTAAATTCAGAAGCACTTAATCATTCCCTACACATTCTTTTGTTCCCTTTCTTCCTCTGTCATGTTATAACTGTGTTTTAAGTCTTCCCATTTCTTTCCCCAACCTTGTACACTGAAACACAAACCGAAAAGAGTGGGGCTTCTAATAAATTGGATTCTCAGTCTTCTTGGATAGACCATGAATAGAAACAATGTCTGTGTGTGTATGTGTATACACACACACACACATATATATATATATTATATATGATATTAGAGCAAAAGGCCTATATCTAGTTGCATAAATTATGAATTGAATGCCATTTCTTACTAAGCAACACCTAGGTTAGGATTCTACTTCCAGACAGAGCTGGATTGACCTAGGGAAGAAATTCTATGAAGTTTTTCCCAGTTAAACTGTCTGCAAAGGATTCAATTTTTATAATTGAATGCTTTAGTTTATTCAACAGATGTTCATTAGATACTTATTCTGTGCCAGGCCCTGTGCTAGGTGCTAAAGATGCAAATATGAATCAGTTTTATTTCTTCCCTTTATGGAGCTTACAGTCTAGTGATAGAAATGAGCTGTTGTTACATATGCATACGTTGTGCACATGTACCCTAAAACTTAAAGAAAAAAAAGAGCTGTTGTTTCCCTAGGAGAGTAAAAGCAGAGGGAAGAACCAGTGTGAGGAATGAAAGCACAAAAGAGCAGAATATATATGGGATGTAAGTAATAAAGGAAGGCTAGACATCGGTTGCCCTGGGGAGGAGGCTGAGCATGTGTAGGGATTGATGTTGGGAAGGAAGGTTGAGGCCAGATTGTCAAGGGCATTGTACACACTTCTAAATACACTGGGGAGCTACCAGAAGTTTTTGTCCAGGGAACTGTCATGATTTGTGTCAGGACTTTGAGCCTAAGACCATGCCTGGAAAAGACATTTGTTGGTCTTAGAATGAGAGTGAGTGGATTTGGCACGGGGAAGGTACATGAATAACTGCACCCATGACAGCTGATCGCAATACATTTGTTTCATTAATAGCTCCAATTCTTCACCCTTCCCTGGAGCAACACCTTGTTCACCATGAAGTTTTACACTGTCCCCGCTCTGTGGGCAGGGCTCTTTCCTGCTGGGTTTGACTACATGATCTATCGACAGATTGTCACTTCTGATTCATTCTAAAATAAAGTTGCAAACCTAATTGCCTCCTTTTGCATCCTCAGCTTGCATTTGGATATCAAAATCTGATCTGCAGCCCCTGTTTTAGTGGGCTCTGAGGGAAGAGAAGGGAACCCTCGTCCACAGTACTAGAGGACACTGGGAAATAGATATTTCAAATCTCGTTCCAGGTCTCCAATAGCAATGGCTGTCACTCGTTTTGCTGTTTAATAGTCTAAGAGCAAATATATTTTCCTGCCACAAAAAAATTGATTTTCTTCTCAAGACCACTTAGTCTCAAGAATACTGAAGTTTATATGTTATTCCTTCCAAAATAAAAAGCTTGGCCTTGTTATACGAACAACTCTCTTCTGGGTTAAATTTACAAAATCTCTCACTTTAACTGAACGTTTTTTTCTGTGAGCCACATGGGACAAATATAACTAATTAAAAATAATTTCTGTGATTGTTAAAAAATTTCCTAAGCAGTGCTTAGTGGCAGAAGCCTGTTCAGTGAGGAGTTTCAGTTCATCCCTCAATCTTTCTTTATTTCTTCTTCCCTCCCTTTTTAAGTACAAAAGGAACACATGCAAAGGGCTTTCCTGTATTTTTAAAACCAACTTTAAAACTATAGAAGATATTATTTATTTATTTATTTATTTTTATATTTTAAGTTCTAGGGTACATGTGCACAACGTGCAGGTTTGTTACATATGTATACATGTGCCATGTTGGTGTGCTGCACCCATTAACTCATCATTTACATTAGGTATATCTCCTAATGCTATCCCTCCCCCCTCCCCCCACCCCTCAATAGGCCCTGGTGTGTGATGTTCCCCTTCCTGTGTCCAAGTGTTCTCATTGTTCAATTCCCACCTATGAATGAGAACATGCAGTGTTTGGTTTTTTGTCCTTGCAATAGTTTGCTGAGAAAGATGTTCTTAATGTGCTGGAGAGTTAAAATTAAATTTCAAAATAGTTTGCATTATATGATTTCAAATATAGATTGATTCATTAACATACATACAAGATAGATAAAAAGATGATTGATTCATAGATATTCCAAAAATGTTCATAACAGTTATTTCTGAGTGACTGTATTTATCTCCTTCTTTCTTATTATATTTTCTTTTTTTTACTTTTAAGTTCAGGGGTACAAGTGTAGATTTGTTATTAAATTAGTTCAGCCATTGTGGAAGACAGTGTAGTAATTCCTCAAAGACCTAAAAACATAAATATCATTTGACCCAGCAATCCCATTACTGGGTATATACCCAAAGGAATATGTCATTCTATGATAAAGACACATGCATGCATATGTTCATTGCAACACTGTTCACAATAGCAAAGACATGGAATCAACCGAAAGGCTTATCAACAATAGACTGGATAAAGAAAATGTGGTACATATACACCGTAGAAAACTATACAGCCATAAAAGAGAACAAGATCATGTCCTTTGCAGAGACTTCGATGGAGCTGGAGGCCATTATCCTTAGCAAACTAACAAAGGAACAGAAAACAAAATACCACATGTTCTCACTTATAAGAACATGTGGTATTTTATAAGTGGGAGCTAAATGATGAGAACACATGGGCACATAGTGGGGAACAACACACACAGGCCTTTCAGAGGGTGGAGGGTGAGAGGAGGGAGAGAATGAAGAAAAATAACTAATGGGTACTAGGCTTAATACCCGGGTGTTGAAATAACCTGTACAGCAAATGACAGATGTGTTTTCATTTCACTTGGGTAAATACCAAAGAGTAGAATTGTTGGGTCATATGGTAAATGTATGTCAACTTTATAAGCAACTGCCTAGTTGTTTCCCAAAGTGGTTGTATAGTTTTACATTCCTATCAGCAGTATATGAGCATTGCAGTTGTTCCACAGCCTCACTAACATTTGATAATTTAATCTGTTTAATGTTAGCCCTTCTAGAAATTGTGTACCAGTATCTAATTGTGGGTTTAATTTGAATTTTCCTAATGAATAATGGTGTCGAACATATGTTCAGACCCTTATTTGCAATTTATATACTTTCTTTGGTGAAATATCTGTTCAAATTTTTTTTTTTGCCCATTTTTAAGTCAGGTTATTTGTCGTATTCTTGAGTTTAGTAGTTTTTGCATATTTTGGATACAATCAAAGATTTTCTTTATCAAATACATATTTTGTTAATATTGTTTCAGTTTGTGTCTTGCCATTTTATTTAGTAACAGTGTCTTTTAGAGAACAAAATTTACTTTTGATAAAATCCAATTTTTTTTACACTTTGTGATTTTTGTGTCTTACGAAACCTTTATCTAACATAAGATTGTACACATATCTTATTTTTTTCAGATGTTTTATAGTTTCATGTTTAATCTTTAGGTTTATAATCTATTTTGAATTAACTTTTGTATATGGTGTGTATGGCTTCTGCATGGGAGATTGTCTCTTTTTCCCCAGTTATTAATTTATTTAATCATTTATTTATATAATTATGTCATGGATATTTATTAGGATATTTATAAATAGCATGGATATTTATTTTGTACTTTGAGTTATAATACTACTTTATTTATTTTCTTGCACAAATTGTTCCAGCTTTAGCCACTGGGAGCTTCTTCAGTTGGCTCCAATGACCTCTTGACATACCCCCATCAATGTGTTTTTTAATTCTGTTTTGTGTTTTGAAAACTTCCTTACTGTCTGACACTATGAGATGTTCAAGGCTCATCTTGTATATTTCCTGTCCCAGTCCTAGAACCAGCCATTTTGCCAAGAACACAGTCTTTTTTAAAATGGGAAAACAGTATTAGAAACTGTTTTAAAATGGGAAAACAAGGTCAAGGTGCTAGGTGTGCTTGTTGCTGCTAGGGTACTATTTCTTTTAGATCCTCTCAGCTAACAGAACAAAAATACATGTGTGTATTAACATGTGTATATATACAGACATATATATATATTTCTACATGTAAAAATCTGTACATTAAGTTAAACATGATGTTTTTCTCATGTCTCCAACTCAAATTCACTAGCACATGGATCATTTTAGCCTCCTTCTCTGCTAATTACCATTATATAAGTGAATAACCTGGGTTCCACCATCTATCATCCATTTACTTGGTTAATTCCAGTATATATAATGAGAATTTTTAACCTAGACCTCTAAGGGAAACAACTTTATCAACTAGAGTACATTAATGTACAGTTTTTGTTGCCTTCAATCTTACAAACTACATTCATTTCCAAAGTTACTTAGGTCAGCATCTAGTCTCCCAACTTTGTTTCATAAAGTTAGATTTTCTTGTCATAGTTTTCATTATTTCTTGAGATCCTCTTCCTAAAATTTTTTTAAAAAATTGATTTACATTAATGTTCACTCTGTGCTGGAACATACTGTAGATTCTGACTAACATATAATGTTATGTATCTACTATTACAGTGCCATACAGACTAATTTCACCAAGCTAAAAATTATCTGTGCTTCGTATATTTATTCCTCTCCTTGTTTTTCCTTTCACTTGGCAACCAGTGATCTTTTTGTTCTCTGTAGTTTTGGCTTTTTCAGAACGTCATATAATTGGATCATAGAGTAAGTAGCCATGTCAGACTGGCTTCTTTCAATTCTCAATGTGCATTTATGGTTCTTTCATGACTTTTTGAACCTTGATAGCTCATTTCTTTTTATCATTGAATGAATTCCATTTTATGGATGTGCCACAGTTTATCTATTCACCTATCGAAGAACATTTTGGTAGAAATTATAAATAAAACTGTAATAAGTATCTATGTGCAGGTTTTTGTGTAGATATGTTTTCAACTCATTTGGGTAAATACTTAGGAGCATGATTGCTGCTTAGTATGGTGAGACTAAATTTAGCTTTGTCTTCCAAAGTGGCTGTACTATTTTGTATTCTCACGAGCAATGAATAAGAATTTCTGTGGCTTCACATCCTTGTAAGAATTTAGTATTGGCAGTTTTTAAAATCTTTCTTAGCCATTTTAATAAGTACGTAGTAGTATCTCATTGTTTCAATTTGCAATTCCCTAATGACATAACATGTGGGGCTTCTTTTCATACATTTATTTGCCATCTGTATATCTTCTTTAATGAAATGTCTGTTAACATCTTTTGCCCATTTTTTAATTGGATTGTTTTCTGATTGTTTAGTTTTAAGAATTATTTGTATATTTTGGAAACAAGCCTTTTATCAGATATGAATTTTGCTAATATTTTCTCCTAGTCTGTGGCTAGTTTTTTCTCTTAAAAGTGTTTTTTGAAAAACTGAAATTTTTAATTTTAATAAAATCCAATTTTTCATGGTTTGTGCCTTTAATGTATCTAAAAAGTTATCATCACTGAACCTAAGATCACCTGGATTTTCTCCTGTTATTTTCTAAAAGTTTTGTAGTTTTCTGCTTTTAGGTCTGCAATCCATTTTTGAATGATGTTTTTGTGAAAAGTGTAAGGTTTGTGCCTGGATTCATTATTTTGCATTTAATTGTTCCATTATCATTTATTGAAGAGCCTATTTTTGTATAAATCTCTTTCTGGAATTTTTATTCTGTTTTATTGATCTATGTGTTCTTTTGCCCCCCACTACCATGCTGTCTTGACTACCATAGCTTTATACTAAGTCTGGAAGTTGGGTAGTGCCAGTTCTTCAACTTTGGTTCTTTTTCTTCAGTATTGTGTTGACTCATCTGGGTTTTTGGCTTTCTGTATATACATGTTAGAAACAGCCTATCAATATTCACAAAATCACTTTCTGGAATTTTTATTGAGTTTTTTTGACTCTACAGATCAAGTGGGGAAGAATTGACATTTAAATAATAATGGGTCTTCTAATCCATGAGCATGACATTTATATTAATTTTTAAAAATCTTTTATTTCCTATGTCAGAGTTTTATAGTTTTTCATATATAGATCTTTTACATATCTTGTTAGATTTATCCCTAAGTCATTCTTATTTTGTTAGACTTATATGTTTTTAAAAATTAAATCAGAGCTTTAGACAAAGTAGTTGATATTTTGTCAATGAAATAGGGGGAACAAGGTTTGTGTCAAGGAAAGAGTTGACCTAAGTAGTACAGAGGACTGTCCACAGTGTCTAAAGCTAAAGGCATGACATGAAATAATGACTGAAGAGTCAGAAGCAAAGAAAATGTCTATGTGGAAGTGGATCCAATTATGACCTTTTATGTCTAAACTTATTTACATCTACCCTCACCAGCCAGTCATTATGTAAATTCATGATAAAGCAGTAAGGACCTATGTGTCTGCTTGAAGTATGCTTGGGCTCTATTAGTCAGTTGGGGTAATCAATAAAAATGGGATAATTATTCTCCATTCTCTGTAGATCATATAGTTGCCCTTTTACATCAGTTGAACACATTTTGTGAAACATAACCTTTGAAACTCACACGTAATCATCATATGTTTCATATACTATCTTTTCTTTCTTTAGAGTTTCTGACATCTTCCTACTTTAGGGAAAACTTTCTGGGCCTGTTGAAAGAGGAGAACATTTCCTTTGACCTCATTTCTTTCACAATATTCTATTCAATCACCTCTTTGCAATAAACATATTTTTTTCTCCACATACGCATATCCTTATGGAAAGTTGATTTCACTATCTGGGTCTTTGGCTGCCACTACTGCTTATCATGTATTGTCAGATGTTAAAAAGCAGGTCCAGGAGAGAAATGCACTGAAACAGACATTGAATAAATCCTTTAGATGCAATAATGATTGCCCACAGAGGAGCTAGGCCAATAGGCTTGATGCCAATAAGATGATGCCAATTTCAGCATAGCAACATCAACTTCAATACAATGTTATTGATATAAGCATTTTAGTATTACAGTAGTATCATTGGCACCAGTGGAGAATGGACCTGATAAAGGCTATTTGACGCCCGGCTGGCTCAGAGTCATTCATAGCTTTCCTTTGGGGGTTAGGACATGTGGCACACTCTGCATATGGGAGATAAAGGGGCACTTGAACAGTACTTGATGGGATCCAGATAGATTCTATGCCATTTGTTGCTAGCAAGTATTTTTTAAAAATTACTTCTTTTTAATTTAATAAAAATAGTGGGGCATAATATGTAATGGAAAGACTGAATATCTTCTATCATTTTAATCTGCATATGCTTTCTAGATTAGGAAACCCGAGAAGTTTTGGAATAAAGAGTATTATTCCATGCATTGCTTCTAATAGGTTAACTCTTTTTCCACGTGGATGGCAAGATCCCAGCTTTGGCTTGATTCCTAGACTTTACCTATTTTCCTTCCACACAGCATGGGGACACTTGCACTTCATGTGCAGGCTCAATCACCTCTCAAACTATTGGTAAGATCCTAAAAGTTTCAGATTTCCAAGTAAATGGGATAGATACAGAGGATCTGGGACTGAAGCAAAAGAAAAAACAAAGAAAAGCAACCTAGTTGTGGATAACACAACCTTTCATCAAAAAGGCCATGTTAGTGGAGAGCTTTGAGCCATTGGGCAGGTATATTCTTCATAAGAAATGTTTCCCTTATGGTCTTCATTCATTAGGATGATGGATTCAAGAGTTATTGCCATTTTTCTCAAGGCCTAAATTTTTATCTATCTAATGTTGTCACCTGAGAGAATTCCCCTAACTACGTACTTGTTCTGATCTAGAAGTAGTGCCTGGTCATGAATATTACCACCAAGCATCACTTGACTTTTCAAGGACAACACCCTGGTTAAAAACACCCTTAACAATATTTTGGTCTTGGACTACCATCTATTATTTTTTCCCGTGTACTGTGAATATCACACTTTATTTGTTCCACATACTTGATTCAACTTCACTCTATTTAAATTTACGGTCTACATATATTTTAGAGAGATTTCTTTGTTTCCATAACTAGAGATTTAATGGTGAGCATAAAAGACATGATTTTGGCGTTTTACTGCCAGCTGAGATGTAGAAAGATGCAAAGGACCTTCACCCTGATGAAACCCACATGCAAGAAACCCACAGACAGAAATAAAAAACAATATTTTCTATGGGGCTAGCAAAGAGCAAGGAACAAAGGAAGCCCTGATAAACTGAATTCCAGAAGGAAATGAAAGTTTCACAGGTGAGCAGAAAACCATGACAGCTTCTATACCATAAGGCAGTTTCCTAATTTGAGTGGAGAGAATGGAAGAATTAGGTTGACATATGCACACAGACATTGCAGTAATGAAAAGAAATCAGCTGATTCTTAGACAATAATTTGGGCTGGGGACAGGTTGGAATCCAAAAGAGACAGAGATCCCAAAAACAAGTGGTTTGACCTGAAAAAATTTTCCCACCACAAATTTTGCCAGGAAAGTGGCAGTGGCAGAAGATCTGGAAATCAGAGAGAAGTTGCAAACTTCTGCACATTCGGGAGGCTTGAATTCTAAGGCTCTGCTTAAGTTGAATAAAAGGGGAATTAAAAGTCTTTGAAACTATAACCCGACTTTGTTCTAGCTTAATATCGACAAGGTCAAATAGTTAATCTTGCTATGGGAGATTGGAAGTTGGGCTAATCACAGATAAGCTCAGTCTAATGAAAGCTAAGGTTCAGTTTCAGATCAACTTAATTCTGGCCATAGAGAAATGGTTTATAATCTCTGAAAAATAAGAAAATAAAAGGAAATAATTATACGTCAGTCTTCACTGTTTCATGTCCTAAAAAGTACATGTGAGTTTCTATATGTGAGAAAGCACGAAAATGTGATATATAATCAAAAGTAAATACACTCAATAGAAGACTGACAGAGGGCCCAGTTAGCAGAAGTAACTTAACACAACTATTATAAAAATGCAAAAGGATTTACAGAAAAAAGGAGATGTAATGATGAAAATACGGAATATTTCAGGAGAGAGATAGAAGTTTTCAAAAATAATTAAATGAAAAGTTACAAATAAAAAATAAGATATCTACCATCAACATTTTATGGGGTGGAATTAACATTAAATTGAATAGGAGGAAAAAAGCATCAGTAAATCTTAGGATACATCACTTAAAAAGTAACTAGAATAGAGAGAAAACACTGAAAATAAACACAGGCAAACAAATCTTTAGGGCTATTATAAGCTATGAAGTCCCAGAAAGAAAGGAAAAAGAGACTAGGGCAAAACATTACTTGAAGAAATAATGACTGAAAAATTTTCCAAGTATGATGAAAGTAATAATGTATAAATCCAATAACTCAATGCATCTTAATCAGGATAAATATCAAGGAAACCACATTGAGAGATGTCATAATTAAATTATTAAAAACCAAAATAAAGGAAAATCTCAAAAGCAATTGGAGAAAAAAGACACAAAAAGGAACTTCTTATACACTGCTGGTAAGATAGTAAAATAGTTCAAAGACTTTGAAAACTGTGTGAGACTTTCTTATAAAGTTAAACATATGCTTATTTTACAAACGCTTAAGTCTATTCCTAAGTATTTACCCATTAGAAATAGGTTCAGTCCCAGATCAACTGAATTCCAGCCATGGAGAAATTGCTTATAATCTCTGAAAAATAAACAAAATAAAACCAAATAATTACATCTCAGTCTTCACTGTTCTATGTCCTAAAAAACTTATGTCCATTAAAAGACTTGTATAGTGTTTAAAGCAGCCTTAGTCATAACAGTAAAAAACAAAAAACAACTTAAATGTACATTAACAGAAGATTAAACAAACAAATTGTGATAGATTCACCCAATGAATTCATCAGTACCAAGAACAAACTACTGATAAACACAACATGAGTAAATCCCACGGACATATGTTGAATGAAAAAAGCCAGACCAAAAAAAAATGCATACTATGTGATTCTATTGATAAAAATTCAAGAACAGGAGAAGCTAATCTATGGCGATAGAAATCAGAGTGAGAATCGACCCTGGAGGTTAGCGGGGTTGACTAATGGGGAGTGTAGAAGTACTTTTTGGGTTGATGGAAATGTTCTATACCCTGATTAGAATGCCCATAGTATCTTGAACTGTATGCCTATGAAGATGTACACTTTCTATAGGTTAATTAATTATTCCTCAGTGTAAAGAAGATGGAGTCTCTTTCCACATGGAGCTTTCATATCAGTGTGGAAGAAAGAGCATCATCACACAATTATACAAATCCATAGATATAAACCATGATGAATACTAGAAAGAGCAAGACAAAGACTTAAGGATTGCAGAGAAGCTAATCTACATCTGCGGAATCAGGGAGGGCTTTTGAAACGGAATAACATTTGAACTGGGTGCTGAAGGTTGAATAGATGATAACTAGGAGAGTGTTGCAGGTAAGGGGAGGAAAGAGCATTCTGGGCAGAAGGGATCAACTGGCTGTCCAAGAGACCTGAGCAAAGGAAGGCATATGACAAATTCAGAAAGAGAGGTAATGTGATGGGTCAGCATACAGTGAAAAGTAAGAAAGGTGGCGAGTAAGGCTAATCATGCATGGCACATTTAAGATCATATTAAAGATACTACTTTTTATCCTAAGGATATCAGTAAATGACTCAAGTGTCTTACATAGGAAGCTGGAATGATCAACTGCATTTTCCAAAGCTCCCTTTCATAAAGGAAGAATGCATTTTCCAAAACTCCCTTCATAACTTAAAGAATGAATGTGAAGTGGTCAAGAATGGATATGGGGAAATCAATTAGGAGGTTACTGCTATTGCCCACCAGTCATCATGTCCACTTGGGTGAGGTCAGTGGCAATAGTGATAGACATACTCAGGCAGTATTTCTTAATGGATTAGATTGAGGGCAATGATAAACAGTTGTTTCACACCATTACTACTACTAGCTGTCTGCTCTGTGAAACTAGAAGGAATCTGATGCCAGCCACTGAGATCGAATAGAAATGAGGAACTACGTTGTAGGAACAACACATGAGTTGTATTTTGAACAGGTACAGATAGAAATGTCTTTGACACCTCCAAGGGAATATTGATTATTAAGTTGACATGCACAAAAATGGCCTGGGCTGGAAATACATTTGCTGGAAATTTGGGAGTCATCTATTTGCTCTGATGATTCAAGTCACAGGCATTGACAATGTCATCTAGGGAATCATTAAAAATTGAGAAGATCTTACAGCCAAACCTTGAGGGCTTCCCAACATCCAACGACCAGGTAGGAAGAATATGCTAGTGAAGGAAACTCTGAGATAGTCAGAGAAATAGGAGGGAAACTTACTGGGCCCTCACACAAGCCAAAGGAAAATGTTTCATGAGTGAAGGAATGGAAAGCAGAGTCTAAGGTTTTTGAGCAACCCAGTAAGAGGAGAATGAGAAAATGCCTATTTCATTGGTAAAATAGATTAGATTTAGGTGTCCATGGGAACGAAAAGGTTTCAGTGCAATAGGGGTTCTATCTACAGCTGTACACAGATGAGTTAAGGGGACTTAGAGAATTCCCAGAAATTGTCTGAAAATGTTTTTATATAGGCACATGCCTTTTTCTGTGGACAGGATCTACAGGCTTAATCATATATTACTCTAAGAGAATCAACTATCTGCTTCCCCTTGCTTGGTGTATGTGTATGCGTGCATGTGGGTGTTCATTTTTAGACTCTGGCTGATCTTTGCTGAAGAACATCAATATTTAGTTTATCTCTCTCACAGTAACAGAATGAACAACACAAAGCAGGTTTCAGTTTTGTCCTCGATAAGCAGCCTAAAGGAATTCTGATAACTTTTCAATAGAATCTTTGGCATTAGAAAACAATGTTGAATGTAGGCCCAGAAAAACTGAATTTTTAGCCCCTTCCTTGCTGTGAGATCTTTAGTGAGAGGCTTAAACATTGTATACCTCAATTTCCTTGTCTGTAAAACAGGTAAAGTAAATAGCAACTTAGTAGGGTTATTGGGATCATAAAATGATATGTTGATTTAGAATGCATTTTGCAAATTACAAACTGCTATACAAAGATAACTATTCTTATATATACCTTATGTGAAGAGATGTGAAAAATGGGAGACAATATCTTGATTAGGGTTATGGTAGACACAAGTGGCTAGGCAAAGGTAGAAAGCACAAGAAAAGTGGTTGCCAGAAGTTGCTATCCTGCTAGCATCCACCACACTGACTCCAATAAAAACCAAAGTGAAACAAAAAATTACCTCCATTTATAAGGTGGAAAAGAGTTCATCAGAAAAGCAATGGAGTGAGATCAAAGGTCTTCATTTTTTGTGGCAAATAGAAAAATCTAAGCAGAATCAAATATATATTGCGTAAAGCAAGGGATAAGATGTAATTTAGTTTGAGAGCAAAATCTTTCAAGACCTAAATGTTGCCTCTTTTCCCTTTGCCAAATAGTTGCTTATTAGTTTCCTAGGTTTTCACTCTAGAAGCTTGTATTCATATATGATGAAGTTGGTAAAATGCATTTTCTTTTCTCAGTAGTAAAATTATTTTTCTTTGGCTACATGTCAATGAAAATAACAAACTCTTCAGCTCCAAAGGGTCTAAAATGCCAGCTCACAAGTAGTTTTTTATTGGGGTACTTGTTTTTACTAACTTCTCCATTAATAGTACAAATCTGTTGCCTGATTAAAGTGTCCTATGAAATTGCCCTATTCCACTCAAATCTGGAAGTCTTCCCTACAGCAAGTGTTTTGAGATATTGTTTCTGGTTCTGTGAAATAAAATATGGTCCAGATTTGACAAGTAAAGATTAAGTTGGAGCAGGTCCTTGGCCTCTCCTCCCTCTGTGGCTAAAGAGAAGCCTACTCCATCGCAGGTTGTGCAGGAGTGACCTTCCCCACTCGCTGGGCTCTCTTTGGCTTATAGTTAAGGACAAGTCCAGAACTGTAATGGAAACGATCTCTTGTATAACATTGGCTTTGAATCACAATTTAAAAATAATGCAAGTTTACTAAAAATTAAAATGCCTTTTAAAAAAGTTTCAGATACAGATATGCTTGAGAAAATCTTATTTTCAAAACAATTAAATATAATGCAGTCTTTCATTATGTGTTAATTGAACTATATTGATTTTTGAAAAATATATGGGGGTATGCCAGTAAAGCAGGAAGTCATTTTCTTTGCAATTACTTGCTTTTGAAGTCATCTTGTGAGGAGACTTAAGTCTTATTTCAACAATATTGTCAATGCTTAAATATTTCCTAAAGTGTGTTTTGGAGTTACAGTTAAGAGTATTTTCCTGCCTAACCTTCTTTACCAGACTTGCCTCCAAATGAGTCTTGGATATTTGGAGAAATGAAATCTGCCGGCAAAGATGGCAAAGATGGAGATTTTCTACCACATAGAATATTCACATAAACCAGCTTTAGGCTTTGAAAACTTATTTCAAATAGTCATTCCAAGCTTGATTTTAGGAGTGGCAGTATTGTTGAAAATATGAAAATAAATTTTTTGACTATGTCAAAGGTAGAGTGGCACACAGCTAGTTCTTTTTTTTGGGGGGGGGGGTCTTGTTTTTATTAACTTCTTCATGTCTTGTTTTTATTAACTTCTTCATTAATAGTACAAATCTGTTGCCTGATTGAAATGACTTATGAAATTGCCCTATTCCATTCAAATCTGGAAATCTTTCCCTGTGGCAAACCTCACCCCATTTTGCCCAGGACTTTCTCACTTTTGGCGCAGAAAGTATTGCATCCTAGGAAGAATAAGAAAGACCACTCTAGACAGAGGAC
This sequence comes from Homo sapiens, assembly GCF_000001405.40. Lineage (NCBI taxonomy): Eukaryota > Metazoa > Chordata > Mammalia > Primates > Hominidae > Homo > Homo sapiens. The sequence continues at coordinate 84,016,261 of NC_000004.12, forward strand.
TGTTTTTAATTTGGATAATGGTACTCTAAAGTTGCTTGGACTCTGTTATGGTATACAGAGTTTATATAGAATTTAAGAGAATAACAAACTGCTGTCATAAGCTGCTAGTTTTAGTCCAATAGCTCTTCTTTTCTTCTTTCATTTTTTAGTAATAGAACCCTAGATTTATAGCTTGGAGCAAAACAGCTCAGAATAAGGGCTATATATTCTAGTTTCCCTTCTAGCTAGGTGTGGTCATGTGACTAAAAACTGTACAATGGGACATATGTGTAAGTGATGCATGGAACTCTGAGAAGTGTCCTTAAAGGGAGGGAATGTGCCCTTTTTCTCCACTTCCCACACCTGCTACCATATTTGATAATGAGATGATCTTGGGAATGAAAGTCACACCCAATGGAGCCTGGGTCAATATCACTGTGGAGCTCCATATCTTCCCTGGATCTTCTTGACCAACAGACAGAGAAGTAAATTTCTGTATTTCTAAAGCTGTTGATATTTGAGGCTTTCCTCTCACCCAAAGTTTAATCAAATCCTCTGATAAGAAGTTTTAACAAAATGATTTTCTCAGCTCCTCCATGGTCAGAGGAAAACCCATACCTTCTTAGGTCATGATTCCTCATTTTAGTTTTGTAATCTTTATTTGCGTTCAAGTTATAAAGCTTTAAATTAAAAATTAATTTTAATTTACTTTAATTTAAAGTATAAAATACAGGTCGAAGGGAAGGCTTTACAAAGGAAGAGGAAACCAAACCAGACATTCACTTTTTTGACATTTTTATGACAACCTCTCCTATGAGATTTTGGAAGTGGGGATTTTGCAGAGTTTAGGGGAATCTTGAATCTCTTTACTATTCTTGTCTTTAATGACAGCCCACTCCTTTGCCTCTCCTTATAACTCTAATAATTGCTGCTCAAATTGCTTTGCGGACACTTCTTACTTCACCAATATTTTTCTGATGTACCTTAAGGCTTCACCTTTAATCCAGTACTTCCCCCAGCCCTACCTTTATACCATATTCTTAGTTGATCTTATCTACTTTTTTATTACAATAAACTTTATTTAAACCAGAGTTCTATACACATTGGCATAACATTATTTATTTTACTTGTATGTAGTTCTGCCTCTTTCTTAACCTATGACTTGTTTGCCTCTGCCTTACTTCTAGCTGTTTTCCTAAATACAAATGTACACTGACTGTGTTAAATATTAACTTGCTACTTTTAGAGTACTCTTTATTTTCTCTTTTCTCTCCCAATCTAAAAGAGACCACTTTGAATTTCTCTAAGTCTGGGCCAGATAATTCAAATGCTTTTGACTACATCCCAAACACTCCAACCCAGAGCAAACACACACACACACACACACGCACACACACACACACATGCAGAATATAATATAATGGAAGAGAAAACATTTCTTATAGTAAGATGCATCTCATAAAGTAAGGGTAAGTATTCTTAAATTTTGTTTAATTTTATACACACATACAAAAGTACTATATGAGATTAATACTATGCACTTTATTTTCTAGACTTCTCTATTCCAGTCTATTTTATTCTCTTCCATTTGGTTCAAAATGAATATTTATCATAATCATCTAAATTTATTTCACAATCCATTAACAGCCATGATACACAATTTGAAAAAGAGTCATTAAAATATTCTTTCAAGAAAGGAGGAAAAAATAAAAAATGTCCCTAGTATTTTTCAGAGCCTGGCTAAAAAGCAACCACTGTAAGCTGTGTTTATGGGAGCAAAACCATATTTTCATTGTCAAAGTGAATTAGGGGATTGGATCTCATCTGCTTTTGTATTTTAAGCCACTGTCATTATATTGGTCATTTCTACAATGTTATCTCTAGAGCAGACTTTCTGCTGCTTCAAGTTCCTAAAGTCAACTGCTTTCTGGTAGGACAGATACTTTTTATGTAACTGAAATTCATAATGTTCAAAATTCAAACTGATTGAAAAGAACACCTTCTTCCTAAACGTGTCTCTCATTGCTAATGGACTGAATGTTTGTGCCTCAACAAAATACATATGGTGAAGTCCAACCTCCAATGTGATGGTGTTTCGAGGTGGGGCCTATGGGAGATGATCAGGTCATGAAGGTAGAGCCCATATAAATGAGATTAAAGCCTTTCAAGAAGAGATAAGGGAAGAGCTTGCTTCTCTCTCTCTCTCTCTGTCTCTCTCTGTCAACCCTCACCCCCAATGCACATGTGAAGGTACAATGAGGAGTCAGCTATCTTTAAACCAGGAAAGTGGGCCTTTACCAAGACCTCGACCATACTAGCACCCTGATCTCAAATTTCCAGACTCCGGAACCGTGAGACATAAATGTTTGTTGTTTAAGCCACCCAGTCCATGCTATTGTATTATAGTAGCTTACAATGACTAAGACACCCATTGTAGATTCTTTATTATTCCATTTGAGTGACATCAACAGTTACCCACATTAGAAACCTATCATTCTTGATGCTGCCCTTTTCCTCAGACTCCAATGCCAACACCCATTTATTATTACTCACTAAGTCTTGCAAATTTTATAGCTTAAATATTTATCGAATTCACCCCATTGTCTCCAACCTTATCACCTCCCTCCAGTTTTTGACTCTCCTTATATCTCTACCTGGGTTACTACTGCAGCTTTGGAATCACTTTCCTGCTTTAGTTTTGTCTACCTCAAATCCCATTTCACCACTGAGGCACTATAGGAAATAATCCATATTTCAAATCTGACTTAATGCTCCTTTAATTAAAATCTTTCAAAGGCTTTGCATCCCCTATTGGATATGATCCAAATTCCTTAGAATTGCAAAGAAGCCGTCAGTGTGCTAGACCTTGCTTGTCATTCCAGCCTCACCTGTTGCACTGCCTAGCCTTGAAAGTGCTATTCTAACACGAAACAGCACATACAACATTCTGGGACTCACATCCATTCACCTACTAATGCTTCCTCTGACCCTTCTGCATAGTCAAGCTCTAAAATTAATTTCAGGTGTCTCCTCTTTTAACGTCATGCCTGACCTCTCCCTCCAATGTGAATTAAACATCTCTCCCCTCTGCTCCCAAAATATCCTAAGATTTTCCCCCATTATAGTCATTATATGCTCTAGTTATTTGTTTAAATGTGTGTCTTCTTACTAAGTCATACAGTAGAACTTAAGTGTATGTTAATGAATGCATGAGTTAATAAATGCATTAATGAGTGAACTAACTTAATAATAACATAGTGCCTAGAATAAGAACACACAATAGAAATACATTTTATTTGATTCTAGATATGAGATTGAGCTGGAAATAACCTCTGCTATCCAAAAGATCATTCTATTTGATTCATATGATTTTGCTAACTGGGTAGGTGTTCTTTGCTTTCCACCATTCTATATATGATCTTCCTGAACTGGAGACTCAGACAGAGATAGTGGCCTTTGCCTGGAGCAAAAAAAAAATCCCAGTTCACATTGTTTTCAGTAGACTACAAGCAGGGTTGATTCAATGATATTTCAGGAGATAGATGTTGACCATATTCTTCCTAACAAAGTCAATCATTCAGCTGACTTTGCATTTTGTCATATTCTACAGGTTCTTAAAAAACTAGTCCATTCGAATGTCTCAAAGATTAATTTCTAACTAAAAGGCAATTGGATTGACTGAACTGTATGTAGTAATTGGCAAGAAGTTAAATAGCCTCAGAATAAAAAAAGTAAGGAAATATAAAGTCTCCTTCTCGAAAGCACCCCAGAAGAATTTCAAACAAGTTAATATTTATACTCATAATACTATAATTTTCTCCAGTCCCCTTTTATTCTTCCTATATAACTATTCAATTATGGTAAAATGTCTATCATATTAGAAGCACCTTTTTATTTTGTTTTGTAAACCAAAAATAAAATTCTAAGCCCCCAACTGACTGAATGGACCTTCCTCTTGGCCAAGGGGATCCAAACAAACCTGAAAAACTAGTTCAGGTCATGATGAGGACGTGGAAGTTCGACATGTCTCACTATACGCTCCTCCCTTTGGAGTTTAGACACAACTGATCATCATTAACATTAAAACAAAGATCTTAGCACAGATAAAATAGACTCTTTGCAGCAATAAGACATCAAATTTCTCACTCTGTAATAACATCATATGACAGAGAGCAGGCCCTGAAGGAGATCAGTCTTTTACCCCAAAATATATTTCTTTGACATATTTTGAAATGGCACTGCAAAGCTGTCTCTTTTGGGAGACACTGGCATTCTGTAGAGAATCTCCTTCCTTTATGAGGTCTGACACTTTTTAAGGTCCAGTGAGACATTCACATCTATTCTCTGTGAAGCCTGCTACATGCAGGCTTCATCTACATAGTAAGAACCTTGGCTTCTACAACCCCTCCATTACCTTAACTCCAGCTGATTTCAACTCTTCAGGCAGAGCTTAACCCTTTCAGCCAACCGCGAATCAGGAAATGTTTTAATCCACCTATGACCTGGAAGATCCTTGCTTTGAGATGTCCCATCTTTCTGGGCCGAACCAATGTATACCTTGCCTGTATTGATTTATGTCTTTGCCTATAACTTCTGTGCCTTAAAATATATAAAATCAAGATGCAACCCAATCACCTTGGTTCTCAGGACCTTCTGAGGCTGTGTCATAGGTCATGATCCTTTATCTTTTCCTTTATCTCTACCTTGGGGAAATAAACTTCTAAATTAATTAAGATCTGTCTCAGATACATTTTGGTTTACACCTTTAAATTGTGTGTATATCTCAGCACTTTATTTGGGTCAAGACCTAGCCCATTTATTAATAGAGATAATATTTAATTAGCAGAAATACCCATGTACAGCAACAAGAAAACCTGTATTACTAATGCTTGAAGGATTTAGATTTCAAAGTCTCTTAACAACCTCGGGCTAAGAACACATGTCACAGAAGAGGTATTTGGTAGATGGATTGACCTTTAAGAAAGCAAACGCTTCTTTGTCTGTCGAGGCCACTTTGGCTAAGACAGAGTGAACATGGGGAAGAGCAAAATGGCACGAGGGTGAAAAGACATCTGGGTGAAACGATAGAAGTGATCTTAAAATGGGGGGGTGTAGTAAGAGAATTATAAATAGAAGAATAAATGCAAATGTTCTCTTCCATTGTTTTTTCTTGGGTCACATGTAGTTAGGACAGGCAGATATTGCTAGGGTAGCATGTCTCTTGGGATGAGACTAGGCTGCTCTTAAAAAGTGAGGTACAAACTAGAGAAGGGCCCAGTTTTGGGGACACTAATGTTTGAAGGGACAAGAAGAGATTGTGCAGCTCATGCATGATCTGGTTTAGGTCACCAGGGTAGAAAACCCTACAGTAAATTGAGGATGAAGTTATAACTAGTTATAAAGAGTATATATTTGTTTGGAGAGTCCTTTGGGGTTGTGAGAGTAGCATGGTTTCTGAACTTAGCAATACTGTTATTCTTTTCATGTATCACAACTAAAATGAAATACAACTATATTTACCATTTTAAATAATCACAACTGCTTTTTGGACATAGACACTGTGTGAGCAAGAAGGGGTGGAAGAAAGATTGCTAGAAATAGATGTATGTACAAATCCATATATACTTACATTTAATATATATTTGACAGTGAGATTTAATATTTGCTGGCATTTATTCCAATGCTTTTCTTTTTCTTAAAGGACTGAGGTTGATTTTCAAAATGATTTATCCCTATGGCTCCCACTAATACATCACCACTTTAGAATTTTGCTTCATACAGCTGCAGCTTCACCCACATGCCACAGAAAAACAAACCTTTTTAATATACGAAGGGTGTCAATGTTAGTCATGTGATTTGTAATGCTTTTGCTTAAATATTGATTTTTTTCAAATTCAATTTTTATTGATTTCTCTTAAATATTAATCATTTCTAATGACAGCTTAAAAAATAGGCTGAGCCCCTTGAACATTCTTGCTATCCACTCCTTGTAGAAATAGAGTACAATTTTAGTATGCTTCAAATTAAGTCAAACAAAAACATACTGCTTTTTCATTTAAGGGTTTATTGTAATCAATCAAAATTTTATTTGTCCCAATCTAGGAATTTATGCAGTGTTAAACATGGCTGTGCAGTTTCATCATGAAAATCCAGTGCCATCTATGACCTCTAGCTCGTTTATCTGTGCTTTGCTGCCATAGCTGCTTCCTGGCAAACTGTTCCTGGCCTTTAGGAGATCAGCGTTCTGCAATATTAGTAAAGTTGACAGGGCCCAACTTAAAATAACTAGAAAGTGGCAGATTGTTAACAGTTGCAGGGGACGAGGTGTCTCCTGTACAAGCGTGTGGAAAATATTCCGATTCTCTTGGAAAATAAACGTCACTTCCCCAACATTGGTTATGCTTTAAATTTGTGATTGAGAAATTAGTGCTTCTGAAGAATTGAGTGCTAAACTTGGCAATAATTAGCTGTGAGGCTTCCAGTACATCATTTAACCCCTCTGACCTTGGTTACCTCATCCACAATAGCGCCAGTGGCTCCGTGGGAGACAAACAGCACAGGCAGTTACCCACTTGAGCAGGTTTGTATTTAGAGTTTTTCTATGTGGATTGTTGAGATTTGAGGCTATATTTACCCACACAAACAATGTATTAGTGCTGGTTGGATTTTAGTCCAGTTCACAAAGCCCTTTAAACCTATAACATAGCTAAAAATATGATTTTTTAAAATATGAATTTAAGATTAGATAATTTTTAATTTTTTGTTTTTAACAAACAGTATTGAAGTACTACAAATTAAAGATAAATGTAATAAAGCAAATAAATATTTTCTTTTGCGTTTTCAGTGATGGTGTTTGAAAATAACACAAGGACAATAATGATGGGGGTTATGACAAAATTAAATATACTTCTATACACCATGAATGTATTAAAGTTGATAGAAAGTTTTAAGAATTTTTTTTGAATCTAATGCTTATTTACATTTGACATAGAAAATTTGGAGAATAAAGATAAATCTAAAAATGCATTTAAAAATGATCTTCCACTACCTAGAGATAGTCATTATAAAAATACACTCTGGCAATAATTTAGTTCTTGCTTTTAACTAATCAGGACATTGAACTTAACCATCATGATAAACCTTTTTTTTTTTTTTGTCTCACAAATAAATTAGGGCCAAAATACAGCCCAGTAAATAATATATGCAAGTGTCTGTTATGGTCATGGTGATCCAGAAAGAATCCTACAGGATAAGTTAATCAGGTGACTGTCTGGAGCTGGTGAACTGAGGAGAAATGATATGGAAGAAGTGGCGTACACCAAGTGCCAGGGTCAATATAAGAATACTATATGTTTGGAAGTACAGTTAATTCTATATAGGAACCACTGATGAATTTATCTATTATTCATCTTTTGTTGTGAACCTGATTTAGGCAAGCTTGGATTCCAATCTAGGCCCTATCACTTAGTGGCTGTGTAATTCTAGACAAATTTATGTAACGTCTTCTTTTAATTGGTATAAAATTTACATACCATAAAACTAACCATTTTAAAGTGTATAGTTCAGTAACATTTAGTATGTTCACAAAGTTGTGTAATCACTACCTTTATCTGATTCCAAAACACTTTCCTCACTCTAAGAGGAAATCTGTACCAATTAAGCAGTCACTCCCCATTCCCCTTTCTTCCCAGCTCCTGAAAACCACTAATCTGCTTTCCATTTTTATGGATTTATCTATTCTGAATATTTCACATAAATAAAATCATACAACATGTGAACTTTGCACTTACTTAACTTCTTTAACTTTTTTTGAGCTTCAGTCTTCCCCACTATCTTCCCACCCTAACATGTACTTTATTGTATGAATTATCATTGTATGAATTAAAATAAGATCATGTCCATAAAATACCAAACACAAACCCTGGAACCATGCATTCTGTCAAATAGTTCCTCTTTTATTGTTTGGTTTAAAATCATTGCATATATCTTTGTATGTATATAGATATTATACTAATCTGTGAGGATTTACTTAATGTAAACTTTTTTTCCTATCACTAATACACTTTTTGTGTGACCTTGTTAATGTAGGTCTAGCTACGGATTTTCATCTTGGCCTGCAGTGCTGCCCTTTTCTCTCATTTCATCTCCTGACTTCTTTTCTAAACATAGTTGTATTTCCATCCATTTGGTGGGTCTTGGGAATTTTCTTTTCATATCTGTGAAAACAGCAAGCTGACAAGCTTCTCCTTGGCATGACACAGCATGTGTGAATCTATGTCATGTCCAAGTGACTTTGTTCATAGTTAATTTGTTAAATTCCTTTGGAGAACAGACATGGCATTCCCTACTGAGCAATCAGCACAGCTGCGAAGCCAGGCAGTGGCCAAACAGAACCCAGTGGGAAATGTGTATTCAAAGTCCAGAGACAGCAGTCATGGCTGAGCCCCTGAAAGTTTACTGGCCTCTCTTTGGGGATATGCAGTATAACTTGCCCAGGAGCCCCATGTTGTCCACGAATCTTAGGTATATAAGGTGCTTGGCTGTGAAGGTTTAATAGACATAAAGCAATAGAAGGAGATACCCTGGAGTCATGATATAATCCCATTCTACTCTGTACTCTTCCCTCCTTTGTTCCTTCTCTTCTTTTCTTTTTGCTATCCTAATATTTTTCTTCTATCGTCTCAGCTGCTTTGATCTTGGTGTGTTGCTCCTTTGACAATTAAGTGATGAGGACTGCGGCTGACAAGTCATTATAGAAGGAGCTGGACTTTAATAAGAAATCAAATAAACCTGAGGCACGATTCCCGTGAGTCAGAAGAGACCATGTGCCACTACATCGTCTTGGGTAGACGGTGGGTGGGCAAAAAGGACAGTGTGTGCACACTCTTCAATAAGCACTCCTAATAAAGTTAGCTCCAGCTGAGATGATCAAAGGCTGTTTTTCCCAAAGCTAGCCTATGAATTGTCAAAGTCAGCCTGGCATTCAGAGGTTAGAATCACATATCTCCCTGAAATTATCCATAAGGTCCAGGAACTTATCTCTACCATCATGATAGGAAAACAAGCTCTGGCCCACAAGAGCTGGACATAAAGATTTCAAGGTAGTGAGACTAATGAGATGATCTACAAACTACAAACTTGGTCCCTCTTTTTGCTTCAGTTTTTTGTTTTGTTTTGTTTTGTTTTTATCTGGGGGTGGGGGGTGGTTTGATTCTCATGTTCTGTTTTCTTAGGCTAATGTGATAATGGCTGAAAAAAAGAATTCAGCAGAGAAAAATGTGAAAATTTCAAGGAAAGGTCCTTCATAACTCTGAAGCAGGGTCATAGAATTTTGTGGTAATTTTTCAACTTTCCTTCTTGGTTGAAAAAAGATATACCTAGGTGTTGGTCCCATAAAGTTGAACTGAAACATCATTCAGAGAAAAGAGGTTTCTGGAAACTTCTAATTAGACCTGTTGTGTGTGTGTGTGAGAGAGAGATAGTATGCAAGACTGTGCCCATGGGGTCCACCCAGCATTGTGCTAGACTTTCCATATGTTATTTCTTTTATTTCTGAAAAAAGTGAGGTGGGCATTTGGGAAAATTGAAATTAACAAATGGAAAGCAACATGCTACCACTGGTCAGGAAGCTTGTAAGTGTCAAGATCAGAACTTGAACTCAGGTCTCTGACTCCAAAACATTTTCCACTGTGCTACCTGCTCTTGTACTGCCTAGTAGGACCTACAGAATACCCAGTATCCTCCTCCTCTCACAGATTCCCTCAAAGCCCATCTAGTTAACAACTGTAGATTGAATAATCAGTACCTGCAAAAGCTCTCAAAAGCCTGAAGGTGAGGGAGCCAGGTCCTATCTTCAAGGATGTCACAGTTTAGATGGGGAGGTAAGAAATGGACTCAGATAACTAGAGCACAAGGCAGAGTGTGCTGAGGGAGTACCAAGGAGCAAGAACCTCATTTCTAGCTGGGAGTGCCCAGGGCGTTTCATAGGGAGCTGGCACTAGAACTTGACTTTCAAGGGTGGAAAGGATTAAGAAATGCAGATGGGGAGGGATTTCAGGCTGGAAGGAGGAAGGAAAGAGAAAGGGACCCACAGGCTGAGGGTGAGGACTTGTAAGTCATCCAGGTTGTCTGGGCTCTAAGCTAAGACCAACCAGATCTGGACCCCCACCTAAAGAGTTTGGACTTTCTGGTTTACGTTGCATCAGATGTTTGCAAGGGAGGAAATAAGTAGTAAGATACTAAAGGCAAAGGCCACAAATGGAAGACTGGCAGCAGATTACTATAAAGGTTGAAGTGGCTTTTTTGACAAACATATTATAGTAATATTTTTAACATTTTGAGTAATTATTTAAAAAGAGAGGGGATTTACATAACAACAAGCGGCTAGCATTTGATATGGCAACAATTGTCCACAACTGAGAAGCAGCCCCTTCAGTTCTTCTGCTTCAGTTTCCCAGAGTCCCTGTCTAATTCAACGCCTGGATTGCTTCATTCGTTTACCTTACCTACCTAGTTCCTGTGAGCAGTTAAGTTGGTAAACCCTGTCTCAGGTTGTCACCAGAAGATGGTCTATTGTCATAAAGTGGAAAAGTTAGAGATTCGAGTTAATGGTAACACAGCGGTTAATATTGTCATCACAGGCATATTATACACATTATGATTCTGTAGAAAGAAAAGCATCGGTTTATGGATTTATTAATTTTTCTTGATCTTTTCTTCTTCCATATTTCTTCTTATCAAAAGAGACAAGTGTTCTTAAATTTTCCACTAAGTGAGCACTTTGGTTTTGTCAAAAAAAGGAATAAATAGAATTAGAATAGAAAAAGCAACAGTATTTACAATATGGTTTCAGAGGCTGTATTAGTTTCCTTTTGCTGCTATAACAAATTACCACAAACATAGTGGCTTAATAGAAAACAAATTTATCATCTTACAGTTCTGGAAGTTAGAAGTCTGAAATGAATCTCAAGGGGCAGCAGGACTATGTTCTTTCTGGGGTCTCTGGGGAAGAACCCACTGCCTTGCCTTTTCCAGCTTCAAGGCTGCCTGGATTCCTTGACTTATGGCCTCCTAGGAAATTACATCACTGTTTCTGTAATCACATCTCCTCTTACTCTGATGCTCTTGCGTGCCTCTTATAACAAACCCTTGTGACTACATTTGAAATACCCACATAATCCAGGATAATCTCTCCATCGCAAGCTCTTCAACTTAATCACATTTGCAAAGTTCCTTTTGCCATGTAAGGTAACGTATTCACAGGTTTTGGGGATTAGAACATAGATATCTTTGGTGGGGAGGGGCATTATTCTGGCTCATAGAGATCACAGTAAGATTCTGACCTCCCAAAGAGTTGAATCTACCATACCCGCTCAAATTCCATGAAGAATGCTCAGAGCATTTTATTCCATAAGGACAGCTAAGAAAAATAACTAGAAGAGAAGGTAGAACAGTGTCTTAAAATTGGCACAAGACCAAGGTACAAATCCTGATTCAAGATGTTGGGCAGAAAGTGAAGGAAGGTGAGCAAAGCAGGACACTGTATAGGAGGGTGCAGAAAGAGAATCTGGAGAAATAACTATTTATACAGTGATTAATGACTGACCAAATATTTCTTCATATGACTCCATGAGATTCTCACAACAAGAAAGTTAGCATCTCTAACCATGTTTTATAGGTGTATAAACAAGGCCTATGCTAGGTAACTTCTCAGAGACACACAGGTAACGAGACACAGAAACTCTTATACTCAGATATGTCTAACTGCAAGCCACACTATAAGGTGGCCTGTTGCACAATTTGCTGAAGACCAGACTGAAAGCGTTAGTAAGTAATGTTCATACCAAGCAAATTTTATGACTTATGAAGATTTCTGGAGGATTATTTGTTTTGAGCATAATTACCTCTGGAGAAGATGTAATTACCTCTGCTTTAAAAGATGCTATCAATATCGGGATCCTACTAGAAAACAGAAAATGTTCTAGGTCTTTCAAACAGTGAGGATGTAATAAAGGGGATTGGTTAGATGTTGGAAGGCTGAAAGAACAGAAAGGTGATGCTGGATTAGTATTAGAAACTGTGAGAACTGCATGAAACAGCTATCATTTCTAAGGTAGGGTGATACATCAGGGCAGATGATTTGGTGTGACAGGAGCTGATGCCTGTGATAAGTACCTGTGAGTCTTACCACAAGTGGTGCTGGGTGTACCCAAGAAGCTGGAGGCCAGAGATGCAGCGTCTCTTGCTACTGGATGAGGCTGCTACTAACCAGACAGCAGAAGGAGCCCTTTCTCCCCGCCTTCTGCCTTTCACACTCCCTCTAGTGCCTCCAGTAGTCTAACTACAGCAATCCAAGGCAAGGTGCTCTGGGAAATATGGATTGCAGACTCCAGGCCTGGCATGTCTGGGAAGAAAACAGAAGAGTAAGCAGAGAATGGCAGACAACAGGTAAATCACTAGCACAGGAGCTGAACTTGTTAGTGATAGCATTTATTTACATTTACTGTACTCTAGATATTTGCCTGTAAAAATTTATTTAATTTTATAATCCTACAAGGCAGGTACATTATCTGTATTTTACAGATGAGGAAATGAACATAACCAAGGCATCCACAGCTAGTAGTCAGGTGGAATAAAAATCATGAGTATAAATTTACTCATATATCACATATTCATAGTCCAATATTCCCTTCACTGTGCAAATAAACCCCACATGAATCTCCTTTTATTATCTTTTCTGAGCTAATGTCATGACATAGATTTTCTTAATAATAGGTCTATGTGAACACAGAATCTTTTTAGATAGCTGGATGCCTTACTTACTGAACTAAATTATTATATTAATGAAAAGACCGTACCCTGGAGCCAGACTGCGTAAGTATAGAGAGTTTCAGTTCTTACCAGCTGCATGTCTTTGCAAAATTGCATAACCTCTCTGTGCCTCAATTCCTTCATCTGTAAAATGGGGACAGTAAAAGTACCAATCTCATAAGGTATTTGTGAGGGCTAAGTGTGTTAATACCTGGAAAGTGCTTAGATGACTTCCTGCACTATATGATAGCCTTTGTTTATAATAATAATTATTATTAGAATTGGAACAATCTTTAAGGAGAAATGATTCCCCTCCCCCTATCACATTGTAAACATATACTATCAATTCAGCAAACAAATAATTTATGTTCCTTGATCAGGGGGTTGACCCTCTCTAGCTTTTTGGCCACCAGAGAGTAACCTACCACCTTTCCCAGCATGGCAAACTTACTTGAACAGTGGCTTAAAATTTCTCTGATCTTTGTGTTGACATGGATGTAGTGAAAAGGGAACACGTATATGCCACTGGTAGGAATGTAATTTAGCATAACCTCTGTGGAAAACAGTATAGGGATTTCTCAAAGAGCTGAAAGTGGATCTACCATTCAATTAAACAATCCCACTACTGGGTATCTACTCAAAAGAAAAGAAGTCATTATATCAAAAAGATACCTGCGTGTGTATGTTTACTGTAGCACCATTCACAATAGCAAAGATATGAAATCAACCTAAATGCCTATCAACAGATGAGTGGATAAAGAAAGTGTGGTATATATACACCATGGAATACTACTGCCATGTAAAGAACAAAATAACATCTTTTGCAGCAACTTGGATGGAACAGAAGGCCATTATTCCAAGTGAAGCAACTCAGGAATCAAAACTAGATACTGCATGTTCTCACTTATAAGCGGGAGTTAAGTTATGGGTACATAAAGGCATATAGAGTTGTATAACAGACATTGGAGACTCGGAAGCAGGGGTTGTGGAAGGAAGATGAGGGATAAAAAACTACATATTGGGTATAATGTACACTACTCGGGTGACAGGTGCACTAAAATCCTAGACTTCTCCACTGTACAATTTATCCATGTAACCAAGAGTCACTTGTACACCTAAAGCTATTGGAATAAAAACATTTTAAAAAAATAATTCCTCTGATCTCTGATTCAATTGGTGGCTTTCCCCTCTGAAAGACTGAAATGAAGATATTGTAATTTGAATATAACAAGTCACTCACCAAAACTGTGAGGGATTACCTTTGCAGGGACATGGATGAAGCTGGAAACCATCATTCTCAGCAAACTAACACAAGAACAGAAAACCAAACACCACATATTCTCACTCATAAGTGGGAGTTGAACAATGAGAACACATGGACACAGGGAGGGGAACATCACACACTGGGGCCTGTCGGGGGGTGGGGGGCGGGGGGAGGGACAGCATTAGGAGAAATACCTAATGTAGATGACAGGTTGATGGGTGCAGCAAACCACCATGGCACATGTATACCTGTGTAACAAACCTGAACATTCTGCACATGTATCCCAGAACTTAAAGTATAATAAAAAATAATAATTAAAAAAAGGTCAGACACCTAACCTGGCGGGTCTCAGCCATCTCTCCTCTCTTTGGCTGTTCTCCCTGGGTAAATCTCTCCATGAACATAGGCCCTGCTGCCCAACTTTTCACGTTGAATGACTTTATGCACCACTTGGATTCCACATGGCTGGGCACCTTGGCTGGTTCTTGAGTTGTCTTCATCTTGTCTCCACACTAGCAGCCACCAGCAATTTTCTCAAGTTATCTGGAAGCATAATCCTTTTTATTTTTTGAGAGAATGAGTGAATGAATGGGGATGGAAAGTCGTCCCAAAGGGAACTGAGTGGTATTCCTGGCTTTATGCCTCAGCTTTTCCCTCTGTCAATCTGCTTCCCAGCTTTTATTTATGAGACAAGAGGACTCAGAAGTGAAGCTAATAAACTCCTAATGAAATTGAGATAGGGTCCTAAACAGTACAGTTGATGTTTAACAGCAAACTAAACAAAGAGACAAGGGCAGGGGAGGGCCTTGTAAGGATTGTGTAGGTAGGTAGTGGGAAGAAACTGGCTTGTGTGAAAATAGTGACTGCGTTAGTATCTTCACTGGCCCCAAAGGGCCCATTTGGATGGGAATGAAATTTTGTTTCCAGCCCTTACACTTGGAGTGTAACAGCAATGGGGTACATGTCCCACTCCCCCCACTCTCCATTCCTGGATGAGTAGTGCCTATGATCTGTTTCTCCTCCATGTCCAAAGCTTGCCAAATATGCCAAATACAGTACTTGGATGCCTTCAAATGATTAATAGATATCACTTGTAATTCACAGCCCTTGGCTTGTGAATTTTAAGATCCCTGTTGACTGCTTCACTCCACGAATGTTTATTGAAGCCCCACTGTACTCAAGATTTGTTTCTCACCGTGCTCTTTATCCCTGTCCTTGTCAGTCACCACAAGAAGCCCAGGCCTCCCATGCCCTCCTAATCTTTACATCCTCTTTTGCGGGCAGTATGTGCCACAACTTTCAAACAATTTGTATGACTGTGCAGTTGTTCTGTTACTTAGAGCTCCTCTCCTCAACTTTGAGTTCTCAGTTTCCAAGAGCTGTGCTTCATTCTCTTGTGTCCCCACACCTGAGAGAGTGTTCAGCACTTAGTGAGTGTCCAATACGTGGTAGTAAACTAAAGATGTCTTTAGAATCTGCCATCAGTTGACTTTGGCAGGCATTTTATAAAATGAAATGTATTTTAGGAAATTGAGTAAGTGAATCCTAAGATTTTCTTTCTCTCAGTAGTAGCCCTCAGCATATCAAGGTGGACCGAATCTTAGAGGTGACACTAATGAAACTTGAACTGGGTGCTGGAACTTAGTGGGGAGCATGATGATGAAAACGAAGCTGTGGCCGAAGCTTTGGACTGGCAGTCATCCTACCCCTGGGTGTTCTTTGAGCTTGGCTAACTGTATAAAATCTCCAGGCTCTAGGCTTCAGGAAGTGTCACAATTTGATTTGCTTGCTCTGAGCTAGGTTCACTATTACATTTTAAGTTAGACTAAGAAAAGCACAAACATAATCAGATAAGAAATAGAAATAATGAACTTATATTCATTATATCTAGAGACCTTAGTGCAACCTTTTTTGTTTTACAAGTTGTTTATATTTGGATCTGCTGTTATCATAAGTTAAATTTTATGTCAATATTGTAAACATAACTTAGATTCAAATTAAGTAATGCTTCACTTTGTTTCAGAAGGAATTGGAGGTGAACACTTACATAAATTTATTCTAATGACACAAAAATTATTAAACAACAAAAAGTGAAAAGAGATGAAGAGAGCAGTTGTTATTTTACATTGCAATCCTGATATGACTCAGTACTATTCATAATAACCAGTCTTGTACTGATTATAATGGAACCTCAAAATAGAGTTGTTCTACTTTCTAGAGATAAAACAAAGAGCCACACTATTGAAATCTGCCAAGCTGCCCACAGTGACCATCTGACCAGAGACACGTATCCCTTCAACCAAGAAGTCTAGCATCTGTCACGATATTCACTTACCAACAGCACTGACAACAGCCTGAAACCAGTAATGAGAGAAAACTAATAATATCTAGAGACACCATCTGTTCAGCATTTTCTAGGGTGCACTTACTAGCTCTATCACCTTGGCCAAGAGCCTTAACCTCTCTGTTCCTCAGTTTCCTCACATGTAAATTGTAACTAATGACCGAAACTACTTCATAGGATTGCTGTGACAATGAAATGGGTTAATATATGTAAACAATTTAGTGCCTGGGATGTAGTAAATAACATTTAAGTGTCTACTATAGTTATTACTGAGTGCCAACAAATAGCTTCTGTAATTTACTTATGCTATCTAATTTAACTTTATCATCTTAATAACCTTCTTGTAAGTACATTTCTGCATTTTTACAGATAAGGAATCTGAGGCTCAGAGAGATTAAATAATTGGCCTAAGATTTCACAGCTAGTAAGATGCAGATCTGGGATTTGAAGCTAGGTTTTTCTAACACTTAACCTCCATGACGTGCTGTCAACAGACGACATCTCCAATTCTCTTGGGAACTGTTGTGCTCCTAGAGTGGGTATTGAACTTCAAGAATAATAACGAGGAGGACTATTTCCATATCTCCACATTTCAACCAAGCATCTTCAGTCTGACATCCTTCCTTCCCTAGCTTCAACTTTATTACATGCTACAACTTTCCAAGCACTTTGTGCCCCAAGCCACAAAATAGTCCTAATTATTATTATTTATTTTCTCATTTATTCCCACAAAAAGAATAAAATAAACAATATAATTTCTGCTTCATAAATTATTAAAGTGAAGTTCCTAGAACTTAAGTTCAAGATTGTATACATAGTAACAAAACAAAAAGTAGGTACTTATTCCACAAGTACCTACTTTGTATCTACCAGGTGCCAGGGTTACAGTGGTAAAATATTCAATTCTTGCCCTCAAGGAGCTCACCAACCAGTGTAAGATGAAAGAGGAAGCAATCACAGAAGAGTGTGGTTAATGCTATGATGAAGATGTGCACAGAGTGCTACGGGGCACATTTAACAAAGTGACAAAGTGGTGGCGGGAAGAAAAAAATGTGCTCAGGGAAGGTTTCTGGGGCAATGATACCAGAACTGAACCTTCACAAAGGAGTAAACCAAGTGGATAACTGAAAAAAAGTCTTCAAAGCCCAGGAATGTCCATAACGAAAAGACTGGACACCTGAAGAAATGGGGTAGCTGGAATAAGTTCACTAGGGCTGGAGTTGAGAGTAGAATAGTGTTGAATAATGACAGGGCTTTGACTATGAAGGGCCTTGTATGCCACACTAAGTAACTTGAACTTTGTGATAGAGATGGTAAGAATTTGTTGAACACATTAAGCAGCAAATGTATGAGGTAAGATTGGCGATGAGTATGACAGATCACTTAGGAGTGTAGGTAAATAAAAGACCAAAGCACTGGTAGTGGCCCTGGAGGAGGAAAAACCTAAATCTATTAAGGAGTAGAGTGGCCAGGATGTAGGAATTGGCAGTGGGTATGGTCAGCAGTGGAAAAGAATGAATCTAAGCTGACTCCCACATTTTGGCCAGACAACTGGGTAGTCAGTAATGATTTTGCTAAGATAGATAATATAAAAAGAGGAGCAGATTTTAAATGAAAAAGAGACACTTCGGTTGGAGACACCTTGAGTTTAAGAAATTTATGAGACCTGTGGGTATGTCCCTTGAACTGGTTTGGAGTTAGGAAGAGGATAGGGTACTGGGAAAAGTATGATTTCTTAGCTGAAATCACAGGTGAAGACGCAGTTACAGAAATAAAGTTAGCCAGGACTTAAATGCAGGTTGATCGAACTCCAGAGCCTATACTGTTTCTATGGCCCATATTGTCACTTTCCAAGGATAACATCTACTTATAATTGTGTTTGCAATGCATTCTCTCTTCGATACTGTGTCCTGAGATCCTTGCTGCTGTTCAAATCTCGGTTCAAGTCTTACATCTTGTACAGGGCCTCTCAGACCATTACAGTCAGCATTCATTTTCATGCTCATTTCTTCCACTGCCTGTTTTTACTCCTCTAATATAACACTTAGAATCTCAGAGACCTCAAAGGAGCCATTTAGCCGAAGCCTCACTGTTGTATGAACCACTTTTTCAACAACCTCCATGAGTAATCTTGCAGCCTTTCCTTTAGCAATTCTCCAAGCAAGCAGTTCACACTTTCCAGAGGCAGCACATTCCAATTAAAGACAGCCTCAATTGCTGGAAAATTCTTATATTCTCCAGAGCTCTCCGATATACCTTCCATTTACAGATACTGGATTTGCTTGGTGGAATCTAGTCCCTCTTTACATAATAGCTCTTTAGCTCTTTAGAGATAACTGGCTTGTGCCACTTTATCCCCACTTCCCAGGGCTAACCATCCTCAGTTCTTGAAGCTACTTTTCAGGACATGTTTAGTTAGTTTCCTCCTTTTATTTTTATTTCAAGGTATTCCAGCTTGTCTACAGCCCTCTTAATATGTGATATCAGAGCTCACCCCAATAATACAGGTATGATTTAACCACCACCAAGTAGAGCAAAACCATGCCCTTCAATTATACTAAAAATTTTCAGTACTTTTGATATAACCTAAGATTTTATAGATATTCTCATGATCCTTATCTATTGACTTATATCGAATTCACAGTAATTTCTGGTTATAGTTGCTTTGAATCATAGTTATTTGTTAATGTGCCCCTGCCTTTCATTTGATTATTAGTCTTTAGATTTATCCAAAAACATGTATTATATATCTTTGTAATTACTTTGCTCAGCATAACACTTACATGTATTTGAAGCTTAATAAATGCTGAACCTTCAAATTGGCATAGTTTGGAGTGATTTTCTAAACTACATATTTTTTAAAAGTCACAGCAAAAACACCACCACCATTTTGTCTCTTTTATTGAGTAATGAAACTTTTTTGCTTGCTTGAGTTATTACCAAAAAAGGATTTATTGAAACAATGCTCTACTGAAAGAAGATGAATTTTAAATCTGAGTTACAGACACTGAGTGAAAAGGAGAATGAATTTTCTTTATGACAAAATGGAATTTATGCATATGCTTTTTCAGAAACATGTCTGAACTCAGCTTTGTTCTCGCTGAGTCCCTAAGAACTCTGTCTCTGCATTTTTCTATAATTAGTTTCTAAGTCAGCTGAGAATACACTCCTCCCGTCTGTCTTCCTAGAAAGGCTCTTCTTAATACAATGTTGAGGATTAATGCAAAGTGACCCGGTTCTGGTTTTCCAAGAGTAAAAAGATTGGATGTTCAAGAGGGACGTATGTGCCAAAATAATTTTGGGGAAAAAACAGTCAAGTAAAAGAAATATATTTGACTAATCCATGATTATTTAAACATGAATTTAGCTGTTTGCATGCATCCAAATGGTAGATGAAGAACAACACCTTGTGTCTGTCTGCAGTCAAGAACCCTAAAATCTCGATGTCAGAAAAAGTCACAATAGGCCTTCAAATCCAACATTTTAATAAATAACTCTCTTCCGAACATATTTAACCATGGTGAGAGCTGGCCTCTGAGAAATGGCAGCACTTAGGGCTGCATTAGGTAAGTGTTCTTTTTGGTCTCTCCTACTTCTAGATTGAGATTCCTACTTAGCCATTTTAGATTTAAGAGATCATTTTTAAGGCTGTATCCCAGCCTGGTGGTGCAGTAGGGAATCATTCCCATTTTTTCTGCTGTCACTCTTTATATATGGTTTTTCTCAGAACAAATGATTTGTCATTCACAGTGAAGAGAGACCTTTTTCAGTCTGGTGTGATGAAGGCCTCCCTACATCACATCAAGGTGTCCACGATTAACCTCTTTATTATTTTTAGGGGCATAGCCCATTAGAGCCCAAGATGCGGCTTTGGGAGAGATGGGTATTAGAATATTGATAATCTCCAAGAGCAGACCAATTCTCTTCCAGTTACTATAAGTAAATACACAATCTAAATTCAACAGCACATGTGCTATGTAATTCTTGCAGCATCTTGAAACAGATTGCTTCTCATAAGCCCTTTCTCTGTAGAAATTCTGGAGTCTTCACTAAACAAAGGGTAATTTCATTTACAGGTACAAAAGGCACGTTCATTAATGTTGCAAGGTTAGTTGACAATTGAATCAAGTCTTAATGTAGTTGGAAGACTGTAGATTGAAACCATTTAATTCACTGAGACTTCTTGGCCTGTCTCAAACATCTTTTCTAAAAAGTCCTTCATTAACAATAGCTTCCACTGGCATTCCAGGTTGTCTCCATGATGCATAAGTGATCACAGCTGAAGTTGTGCTGTTTCAAAGATTAGAGAGGAAATAAACATTTGTTGAACATCCCCTATTTTGCTGCAGAGTATATGAAGCTTACAGTAGGTTCTTCACATACGTGATCTCAATTCTCTACAGATCACTTTCCCTCTGAATGCATATAAACCCACACATTCCTGAAAGAGTTGTCACAAATGACCCTGCAAATCTTTAAGTACAAAAATTTTGAGCTAACTCTAATGTCTTTGTGTGGGCTTTAGTGCCACTGTTACTTTTAGTGGTCTTAGCATCATTTAAAAAAAATGAATTTAGTAGTTATTTGCTTATGGCACCTCAATAGTAGCTGTCTCAAGATCCCTTGCTCATAGGACGCTAGAAACCAACGGAGAAGATGAGGAGAAATGTATTATTAATTAAAAGTAGAGATAAATAGCAGTAGAATTATGCACATGCTTCATGAAGTCATTTAGCACATATTAAGTATGTGTGTGTCTGGCACAGGGGGAACAGTGGTTTAAAACAAATTCGGTTTCTACCTTTACGAAGTTTACAACAAAATGTGAAGGAATGATCATTAAAAAGAAAATAAAAGAGATCTGATTTCCAATCCTAGCTTTGTCTCTCACTACCTTGGGCAAGTTGTTTAGTTTCTCTGGGCCTTAACTTTGCGTCTACAAAATGAATAAACTGGACTATACTAGGTCTCCATTGATTTGTAGTTCTGTAGATTTTATTTGTTGCCTTATGAAAAAATATTTTGCCTGTCTTATATTAAGTACCTTCCAGTTCTATGACTCCTTGACTTCATGAGGCCTATGCTGAAATATCTTTCTAGTGAGAAACAGTTATCAATTATGGTTCATGTTTATCTCCCTTTTGGGAATCTCTGTAAGAAAGTTTATGACTCTGGCAATTAGAATAGCTCATACCCAATCAGCTTCCATGGAAGTCCATTATTTTTTATTCAGCATTACATTTTAGCATTGTTATATATGACTCCAGTTGACTTTAATTAAATAACTATATTCCTTAACCAGCCAATTAAAAATAATTTTGAGTATAAAATGTTCATGATTCAGAATACTATACGTACCTATTCTATTACTGTATGTCCTTTTTATCTGACATCCTCCTTATTGTACATATAAATAATTGGATCTTGTCCAATCTTGTAATATGATTAAGTTTAATACATTTTTTATGGGATTTCCTTAATAAGTGTTCTGTTTCCTTTGAGTTACTAAATAATTCAAATGTACATTTTGAATTCTGGAACCATTTTTTATATTTTTCACTTTCCCATTTCCTTCTGTTTGTTTTCAATTTCCTCTCTTAGCCTTCACAATTGTTGACAACAATGGTCTGTAGTTTAGCAACTTCGTTATGTGCTCCCCTCTGTACCCCAGGAGACATGTCTCCCAGTCACCCTGATTTATTCTGATTTTCCAAGCATGTTTTACCTGCCATATATTAAC
Source organism: Homo sapiens (assembly GCF_000001405.40). Taxonomy (NCBI): domain Eukaryota; kingdom Metazoa; phylum Chordata; class Mammalia; order Primates; family Hominidae; genus Homo; species Homo sapiens. Next base: position 84,038,398 of record NC_000004.12, read on the forward strand.
AGCTATTTTCACAAGGTCTTCATTACTTCCTAATTCTGCAAATTCCATTTCCTTATTTATCTTGCCAAAGTTGAGAAAGGAGTTCATTATCTCAGCTGTTTTAGAGTCATTATTAATTTCACTTCTTTCCTTATTTGTTAATGGCTCTACATATGCTCAAATATTTCTTTTCGCTGATAGTTGTAAAATACCTTCTTACTCCCTTTAATGTATTTGGCCAGCATTAGCTCATTATTCCTTTTTGGCTGTCCTTTCCATTCTATTCCTGGGAGTCCTGATAGATTTTTGTATCCTTTAGAGGCAGGGTGGGGGGCAGGGACAGATAAGGTTTGTGGGCCCCCTTATGAAAAAAAAATGATAAATTTCAATATAAATATGAATATTTATTACAGGGCAGAGCTACAAAATACTATAAATATCACACAATCTGGAAAAATAATGCTTGTTTAGTTAATTATCAGAAAAACCTCTCTAATACTTTCTTTCCTGTATTTTTCTGGCTACAGAATCATTAATCATCTTTTCACACACTAATGATTTTGGAATATATAGAGCTGCGAGATTTAGCAAATAAAAATACAGATGTTCAGTCCAATTTGAATTTTAGATCAACAATGAATAATTTTTTAGTATATGTCCTACGCTATATTTGAAAATACTACACTAAAAATTTGTTATAGTGCAAGTTTTCTTATATGTGAAAGCTAAAAATATTGAACACATAGAAGCAGACAGCAGGATGATGGTTACCAGACACTGCAGCGTGAGAGGAACAGGGAAATATTGGTTAAAGGGTGCGACGTTTCCGTTGGACAGTAGGAATAAATAATAGGTATTTGAGTTGATGGATATGTTAGCTTGTTCAATTATTTTGCATTGTATATGTGTATCATAGCATCACTTTGTACTCTATAAATAGATATAATTATAACATATATCTAATAAAAATTAATGAATTAATTTAAAAAATGTATTTGCTGTTTATCCAAAATTCGAATTTAATCAGGTATGCTGTATTTTATCTGGCAACCCTAGTAATATTTATACAAAAGAATAGAAAAAATACTTTCATTTATCCTTTGGAATGGTCAGAGAATTTTTAATTTGCTGGTATTTACAAGAGTTTCTGCAACCTCATAACTTGTTATTGGTTATATCATGCAAACCTTTAGGAATGTCAAATTTGGGGAAATCTCTACCAAGATTCTTTCATGTATGAGCTATAATATTTGGAAGAATTTCTCCAAAGCTAGCTTCTAGCTTTGTTTATATTAAACATCATCTCTCCTCCCACAGCCACACCTTTCTGGTGCTGACACCATGAGACATATCCATATGGCAATGTGAAATTTGGCCCTGCTCCTAATGTTTCTGTGATTGTGGACCCCATTGAATCCACGCCAAAAGTATTCCTAACTTATCTTCCTCTTAGTTTGATCCCAAAATGTGCATAGTCCTTTCAGTGCTATTGACTGGGGAGGAAGAGGGAATAGAAAGAGCCAGTGGTCTTGATTAACTGTGGTTAAAAGGTCTTAGGAGTGCAAATTTAACAAATCATACTACTGTGAGAGTGTGGAGCTCAGGCCTTTTCTTTGGGTTTGAAAGGGGATTTGGGTAAGTGAGGTGTCCTAAAACTTAAACTTCATTAGATTCAGGGTCTATCTGCCTCTGGCAGTAAGGAGTGTATGTGTGTGTGGCAAGGGAGGCAGCCTTATTCTCTTCTTTCTTCTTTCCAGTATAGGACATTCTCAGTTTTCATCTGCTCATTCTCTCCTTCCTTTTGGTCTCCTCTCTCCCTCCCCTTTTCTTTCTCCCTCCTCTTCCTCTCATCTGCTTATTCTCTTCTTCCTTTCTCTCTTTCTCTCCCTCTTTACTTTCTCCCTCCCCTCCCCATCTGCCCTGTCTCTTGAATACTCTGCCCCTGTCTCAGTATAGACTCCTGCTCTTTCACAGAAAGAAACTGCTGGACCTCAATGACATTATCATTGAAATTTCTTCAGACTTTCTTCCTTCCCTTGGATTTTAATATACCCTCTCAATTATCCTAATGAACTAGACTCTTATTTCTCCAAGCTATACTTTCTTGAAACCTAAAAGTCTTCCAGGTCTGGGATCCATGTGACTATTTCTTACTATGCTCAATTCGGGCTCTTCCTTTTCAGTGGTATTAAACATCCTTAAAAGTCTTAAATTTTCAGTGGTTTTCTTTTAGTTTGGAAGAATCAATTTCAATGAGGTCCTCCTGTGGTAGGCTTTCTATTTATCTTAGGTTTGACCCAAATTCATTCATATCTTTAGGACCTACTGCATAATGAATATTATCTCAGTTCCAAATCTTCTGGACTATGGAACTGGTATTTCTATACACTGTGAGTTCTTTAATCTGAGTTTCTACATTAGGGATCAGTGTGAGAAGCCCCTCCTCTTGGATGTAACTGTCATTATAGGCTACCAGTTATACTTTAATTAAAATGGCAAAGGTGTTCTTTAAACTTGAGCTCCGAGGTGGTTTATGCAGCTGGTACTATTTTTTTAAAGGAAAGTAAAGAAAACTGACATTTTCATTCTTAGTATATCTATCCCAGATTACATTTTCAAGTCAACTCTCTGCTTGAAAGATAGATCTCATTGGCATACTTATTCTTGGCATATAACAATGATTATCACACACAGTGTTTGAATACCACTTTAATATTTACCAGGAGTTGTAAGTCCTTTATCTTTTTTGTTCATCAATAGCCCAATGAAGCTTATAGGGCAAGAATTATTGTTATTCCCAGTGTGTAGATGACACAATTAGGTTTAATGAAGTTAAGAGTCTTGCCTAAGATCACATAGACAGTAAATGGTATTCCAATGTCTCCTGAATCTGGATTCTACTCTTTCAATTAGGCTCTACAATTTTCTACCTAGATTTTGTTGATGGAACTTATTCCTTGTAATATTCTGTCAACTTTATTCTACCAAGGTTAGGAAGGCCTCTGGGCAGTCCAAATCATTCACCTTGGATTTCAGATATACTCACCAGAGTGAGTGTAGAATGGAAACCAGAGTGGGTAGGTATGGATTCTATTTATATTCTGTCTCTTGGAGAAGATAATTTGCCTTTACAAGAATTCATTTCCTCATAACTAAAATAAATGACGAAATGATATTCAATTTCCTTCTAGCCCACACATATAGTATTCTCCTACTTGTCATCCTTGGTTGCAAAGCCCGTATGTATCTTATCTTTGAGAGTTTCACTCTATGCTACTTATTTGCATTAAATACTCTTACCTAATTTCTGCTTTCTATTTTTGAAGAAACGAAATTAGATCTGGTAGAAAGACCTCTAATCACCTTTATATAAAATCTTTTTATATGCCTGTGTGTCAAAAACTTTCAGAGCTACCTAGTTACACATGACAATATTCTTACAGTCCTGTGATAACCAATGGTTTCTAACATTTCTGACATCATTGCATCTTTATCATAGTATTTTCAGTCAAATTTGTAAAATATTTAGAGAAACTGACACTTTTGGAGATATGTTTTATTTATTCAGATGATGAGTCACTACAAGTCAGTTAAGACTGAAAAATGATTCCTCTATGAAAGAGCCTTTTGGGAACAAAATTATACAGCTCTCTCTAAGGTTATAAAAGCTCACTAAAATAACTTTATATTCACGTTATGCAGAGTGCATTAGTCACCAAAAATTAGACAACTGGATGTTATGAACTGAAGTGGGTCTTTCCAAGTTTCATCTGTTGAAGCTGTAACCCTCAAAACCTCAGACTATGGCTGTATTGGCTGTTAGGGCCTTTAAAGAGTTAATTAAGTTAAAATAAGGGATCTTTTGTTTGTTTGTTTTTGGAGTTTTAGGGTGGGCCTTAATCCAATTTGACTAGTGTTTCTATTAAAAAAGGAGATTAGGACATACAGAGAGATACCAGGCGTGAACATGTACAGAGAAAAGACCATATGAGGAGGGAGCAAGAGGGCATCATCTATAAGTCTCTGCAAACAGGCCTCAGAGGAAGCCAAACCTGCCAACACCTCGATCCTGGACTTCCAGGCTCCAGGATATGTGAGAAAGTACCTTTCTGTTGTCTAAGTCATCTGGTCTGTATTATTTTATTATGGCAGCCCTAGCAGGCTAATATTCTGGCCTTACTCATTTTTTTTTTTTTAATTTTGTAGAATTGGTGAAGAATTTTATTCATACCCAACTGGGTGAAAATAAACCTGCTATAACATAGCCATGCTGTGGAGTATGTGACATGTGTATTCCATGTCTCTAGACAGCGCTGGATTTTCCTTTTCACATATCCACCCTCTACCATTTCATGCCCAGTGGGCTGTCCTTAACATTTCCCATCACCTAAACAGTGGATGATCTGAAATGACCTTTTATACTTACACACTGGAAGATGTCTTAGTCCATTTCTTCTGCTGTATGTAACAAAATATCACAGACTGGGTAATTTACAAATAGCATAAATTTATTGCTCAAAGTTATGGAAGTTGAAGTCCAAGACCAATATGCCAGCAGTTAAATATCTGGTGAGGGTTGCTTTCTACTTCTAAGATGGTGCTTTGAACGCTGCCTCCTCTTGAGGGGGTGGACACGATGTCCCTAAACGGTAGAAGGGCACAGGGAAACGAACAAAAGGGCCTCGCTAGTTCCCTCTGGCCCTTTTATAAGGCATCCCATTCTTGAGGGCAGAGCCCTCATGGCCTAAACAACTCCTAAAGAACTCACCTCTTAATACTGCATTGGGGATTACCTTTCAGCAAGAATTTTGGAGGGGACACAAATATTAAAACCATAGCAAAAGATTATGCTTTAGTTATTTTTTAAATTTTCATTCATCAAATATTTATTTAGTGCTACTATGCACCACGTGCTGGAGATACATCACAGAATAAATTAAATGAAAGTCTCTCCATGTTTGGAGCACTCATTGTAAAGATGGAAGAAAACAAAAAATATGAATAAGTACAATATCTTAGTATTTAAGACAGTGATAACAACAAGGAAAAATAAGGCTGATGAGGCCTAAGAAGGCTGGAGGTTGCATGAACAAGATTGGCTATGTGTGGCATCAAAATCTCCTATTTTGTAAAACAGCAGGAGGGATCAATGAGCACCAAGGCAGAAATGTGGAGTAACAAGGGGCAGAGGATGACTGAGGGCCCATTGCAAGGCTGGCTCTAAAGATGAGCCTGATTAAGTATTTTATAGGACAAATTGGAAGTAGTCTTCAAAGATGATCCCTGTTTTCCCAGGAAAGGGCCAGAGGCCAGGGCTTGCACTAAATGAGCTGGATTTTCTTGTGGTGATGATTCCTTAGACTTGGGCTCCATTAGCCTAATTGTTTACGTGGATAGAGACAGAGTCATCAAGACCCTCTAGCAGCCATAAAAGGGTAGCCAAAAACCTACCTGAGCATATCAGTCCCTTCTTACCTCCTTTTAAGTCAGCCCTTCATCAATAGCTATCCTCTGTTTTGTAAATATGCAACTGATGTTTTCCAATAATTTACCACAGTTTTAGCCCAGGGTTTCATCATTTATTTTTGGCAGTAGATATCTCTAAGTTATGAGATTATGAGTGATTTTTTTCTTCTTTTTACTTATTGGACTTCTACATTTTCTACCATAAACAGGAAAAAGTTTTGATAGATAAAAGTATAGCAGCAGATATTAAAATGTCATTAGAGATGACAACTCTATCACCATAACTCACGATTCAAATTTCTCCCATTTTCATTCAGTCCTTGTCAAAATGCATACATATTGAAAAATGTTTCAGAGAGTAGAGAAACAGCAAGAGCTAACAATTTTGAGGGCCTATCATGAACAAGGTATGTGTGAAGCATAGATATCACAATTTAATCCTTACAATAACTTTATAAGTTCCCTGTTGGACAGATGAAGAAACTGAGGCTCAGAAAGGTTGAATAACTTACCTAAGATCACCCAGCCAGTAAATGTTAGAACTGAGACTGGAAGCCAATAGTCCATGTCCTCTGTGATATGAATCCTGGCATGGAAGGAACTTGGTATGGTAAGGACAACTTTGGAACTGACAGTCTGGCCCCAGAATTAATTAATATTAGTTAATTAATATTAAGACCCTTGAGCAAAAGGGATAAAAATAGTTCCTACACTGGCAGAAAGCTTTTTAGGGAGTTGGAACAGGGTTGACACATGTGCATGAAAGCTTGAGTTTGCCCCTGGGAAGATACTTGCAATTTCATAATTGATTGATGCCACTCAAATGGCTTCCAAACTAGCCTGGGGGAAATTCACCATGCTTCTTACAGAGCCTTAGAAATTCTATCTTAACAAATACTTGTAATTACATGTTCTATGCCTATCTTCCCTACCACATTTTCTACTATGAATACTTTTGTGTTCCTGGTTTTCTAGACAGTGTTTTCCATATAATATACAATTAATTAAAAATTTATTGAATGAAGGAATTAAATTAATTGAGAGACCTGTAAGAAAATGAAAGAAGTAAGGCCCAGAATAAAAGCCTTTGGGGAAGCCCTCTCTCACCTGCATGAGGACATCATTGGGGGCCACCAAAATGGTAAAACTGGTGGTGGTGGGTCTGGAAATAAGCATTGGCTAAGCATGGTTGGACCAGGTGAGTATGTAAGGTGGTGATTGTGGTTGCCATTGATGTAGACACAGGCATCACACACTCTCATAGGCAGTCTGGCCTTGGAGCACAGAGCAGCACATGCAAGGATAAAAGAAAAACTTTAATTTGGGTGCTGTTGCAGGAGGAGAGAAAAACTGGAGTATGGGACATCTCATTAGTTCTTGCAGTGGGGAATGCAAAGGCTGCTGTTTAACTTTGTATTAGTATTCACATCTTTATTTCCTTCCACAGGCTACTGTGGTCTTGGGAATTAAATGTAACTCACTGTTTTTACAGTTTTAATCTATATGTAGTTAAAAATTTGCCTTTTGCTTCAATTATGTTTCAGATTAGTATTTAATAGTATATTTGTTTACAATATTTTTTCTTCATACCCAAAATTGCATATTGACCTATGTCTTATGTATATTTTTTACCATTGGGAATTAAAGAATTTTATATCTAAAAGTGACTTTTTTTTTTTTTTTTTTTGAGATGGAGTCTCACTCTGTCGCCCAGGCTAGAGTGCAGTGGAGCGATCTCGGCTCACTGCAAGCTCTGCCTCCCAGGTTCACGCCATTCTCCTGCCTCAGCTTCCTGAGTAGCTGGGATACAGGTGCCCGCCACCATGCCCAGCTAATTTTTTGTATTTTTAGTAGAGACAGGGTTTCACTATGTTGGCCAGGATGGTCTCGATCTCATGACCTCGTGATCCGCCCGCCTTGGCCTCCCGGATTGCTGGGATTACAGGTGTGAGCCACCACACCCAGCCTAAAAGTGACTTTTTACAGTAATACGATCCAGCTGTCATTTTGCAGATGTAGAAACTTAAATATAGAGAATTTAATGCACTCATAGCACAAATTTGCACAAGGCAAGAAGTAGAACGGATGACTCTGTCTCTTAATCCATTGCTCTTTCTACTCTAATCCTCTGCTGCCAAGACTGCTGGAGAAATGTGCACAAGAATGTTAATTTGTGCCATGCACAACCCTGGTATCCAACTTTATCTACACCCTCAATTTTCTTAGAAGGAGAAACCAAATACACAAAATTATGCCTATTGATTTTTCCTCTTCAACTACTAATACCGTACCTCACAATGTGCAAGGAAAGAGGGTGGGATGTTATTGAACTAAACCTCTTTTGTCAATATGATATTATTACTGTGTGTGTTTTACAAGGTCAAAGGAATTCAGAAAGAAAAAAATATTTTTCCTGTTGACACATTGAAATGGGATATTGGTTTATAAATGATGACTATTATTTTTATAGATTAAGGAAATTATTGTTATCTACTTTAACAACTTAGATAAGCCCAAAACTATATTTGACATAAATTTCATTAAACAACAATTTATTACTTTCTAATTTTGAATATATTTTCTTTTGTTTACATATGTAGTCTAAATGCCTAAAATATCAACTGGTATGTAATAAACATTCCATAAATGCTTGTGGGATATTTGTTAAACAGTTTATAGAAAGTGGGAATCATTAATGGACTGCCTCATGGTCTAATGAAGAATCTCTACCATACAACATTGCTTGTTGAAGCTGCTTGTCAACTTTGCTTTTCGTTGTGATGTTTAAAATCTAAGTTTTTGAATTGTTCACTTCAAGGATTTTTGTCTCTAAAAATCCCATTTGGAACAGGAAAGAATGGGGTATAAGCATGATGTTTCTTATCACGTAGATTCTCATTTGCACTGATACTACATAGTGTCAGCATATAAAGTGTTCAGTGTTTGGACTCCATGCAGCTCTGTGTGCGTTTAAGTAAACACGAGAAAGACTTGCTATTTAAATAGTTGAGAAACTACATTTAGAATTAACTTTATCTCCAAACACTTGGTTTCGCAAACCTAGGCATGAAACACTGGCACTGGGGAAAAGAGAAATAGAGAGTAATTTATTTCCTTAACTAGATTTCATTAAACGTGATGTTTACTTGCCTTTTTCATTTGTGATGGACTGACTTTTTAGTTCTCGTTAATGGACTCATTTAGATTTATACCCCTATAGACCTTTAGCTGCATTTTTTTTTTATCTTGAATTTGTGGTGAAATATTCTCTTTTTGTAAAGATAAAATGACCAAAAATGTGTTTTATGAAAGGAAATGTGAGCTCAACATTTAAATAAGAGGTTAAAAAAATTGGACTCAAAGAAAATTCACATACACATAAATAAATTATATATACATTGCATTGGTCTGGTCTACCATCATCTAAAACCATACTTGTCATCACATGCTTATCTTACATTGTTGCCATGTTTTATTATTTCTGAGTGCTTTCATACCTTATCTTATTTGGCCTTTATACTAACTCTGAGAAATCTAAGATGGGTATTGTTATCTCCATTAAAAAAATTAATCAATGAGGAAACAGCCTCATGTTGTATGATTAGGACTTATGGGTAATTCCATCAGGACCAAACCCAAGTTCTATGATTTCTTCTCTGAAGCTCTGTTCACAACATCCAACCTGTCTGAGTGATGGTTATCCTTTCAAAGATGGGTAGACCTCTCTTGGCTCCTTTCTCTAAAGCATAAGTGGATGTTTCTTACATGAGATAAATTAGGCTTTGCAGTGTGATTTACATTAGGGAAGGACAAGTGTCTGTTTCTGCTCTTTCATTTCTCCTCATTGGAATTCAGTCTTAGAAGAGGAATCAGTCTTTTTCATGAGTAGCAACAGAGAAAAAATCTCACTGGTATGCATGTGTATAGTCCAAATTAGACAAAGAAGCAGAAACCTTGGTCTCAGACTACATGAAAATATGTATAAGAGAATATAACATTTTTCAGCCTAAATATGAAAATAGTAATCAAGGGATAATTATTATTATTGGGAATATCATGAGATGTCACTTCAAGCCAGAGATATCAAAGATACAGTCATACTGGCTGAGAAAACGAGAACATTGTCATCACAAGCATTATCTCTTGCAGGCCTCTGAGACCCATTCCTTCCTTCTTTCACTCCACATGCACCCACCACACACAGACAATACCATGCACACTAGTTGCATGTGTTGCCTGAGGGGATACCTACTGATTTGATGGGAAATGAGGCAGACACTGTAGGAGCTATGTACCTACATTCCAAATAAACATTTGCTGAAGATGACTTGATTGGAATTCACGTAATTTTTTGCCAGGTATGACAGTAATAATGCCTGACAAGAGGAAACCTGTCAATTGATTTCACGGAGATGCCCCTTAGGGTTCCCTAGGCCCTGACATTACAAAAACAGCAAATTATACAAGTGGCTCACAAGGCCATCACCATGACCACTTACAACTTGTGTTCTCTCTGCTAGTCACAAGCCTTGAGCCATCAATGGGATATACAATGTGTTGTGTTTCCAGAGGTAATAATGGATTTTGATTGATCCTCCATCACTCTTTATCCTTGTGAGGAAGAGCATGGCTTCATACAATGTCTGACTAGACCAAGAACAGCATGGAGTTAACTACATTATGCTATGTTATATTACTTTTTTTTATATTTTCACTTTTTATGCTTGTTTTAGTTTGAGCTTTTTGGCTACTTTGTTTTGTTTTATTTTGTTTTGTTTTTGAGATGGAGTCTCGCTCTGTCACCCAGGCTGGAGTGCAGTGTCACGATCTCGGCCCACTGCAACCTCCAACTCCTGGTTTCAAGCGATTCTTTTGCCTCAGCTTCCCAGGTAACTGGGACTACAGGCGCCCGCCACCACACCTAGCTAATTTTTTGTATTTTTAGTAGAGATGGGTTTTCATTGTGTTAGCCAGGATGATCTTGATCTCCTGACCTCCTGATCTGTCTGGACTCGGCCTCCCAAAATGCTGGGATTACAGACGCTTTTTGGTTACTTTTTTACATTCTCAATCTACTTGGAAGGCAGAAGAGTTTCCCTATGAAGCTTCTATAATTACATTTCCTCCACCATAATGAGCTCAAACTGACCACCTATCTTTCAATCCCAAATCAAATTCCTAGGAGGGAGAATGCCATTTGTTCAGCATGAGCCGAGTCCCCACATCCGGTCCAGTCAGTAGGAATGGAACAGAATTATGTGTGGATATTTGCAATTGAGGACACTTCGTGACAGCCAGCAGGCAACTTCCAGGGAAGGGAGCCACCACGCTACTCTGAAACGATCACCCAAGGGTGGGCCTCCAAGAGTGTTGTAGAAACAATAATGACATAAACTCACATTTGGATGGCACTTTAAAGGTTACAGTATGCTTTTGTATACCTTTTTGTGTTTGTTTCATAATAATGGTGAAAGAGAGGATTTTGGAGGAGAGGAAGACCACATAAAATATATTCATAAATGTCAGCCAGATGCGGTGGATTACTCCTGTAATCCCAGCACTTTGGGAGGCCTAGGGGGGCGGATCATGAGGCCAAGAGATTGAGACCATCCTGGCCAACATGGTGAAACAATGTCTCTACTAAAAATACAAAAATTAGCTGGGCATGGTGACGCATGTCTGTAGTCCCAGTTACTCGGGAGGCTGAGGCAGGAGAATCACATGAACACGGGAGGTAGAGGTTGCAGTGAGCCAAGATCACGCCACTTCACTCCAGCCTGGTGACAGAGCAAGATTCCATCTCAAAAAAAAAAAGAAAAAAGAAAGAAAAAAATCTATGTATCTCTCTCTCTCTCTCTCTCTCTCTCTCTCTACCATCTATCCATAAATATCTCTAAATACTGACACACATATTTTAAAAACCTCTACCTACAGAGTTTATACTATGATTTAGTGAATTATTATGGTCCGTGTGTGTGTTGTGTGTGCGTGTGTATGTGTGTGTGTGGGGGTGAAACAATAAAACAAAGAAATAACAAATAAAAACAGTAGAATAAAGCAATATAAACAATATTTTGCAAGAAAGTGACAGTACACTGAAAAAAAACTTAAAGAGTGAAAGCAAATGTAAATGTAGTCACGGAACTTAAAAGTTGTAAAGATTTGTATATAAACAATTTGTATGTAAACAATGCTAAGAATTTGGAAAGTGACAAGAAGTTTTCTTTCACATACCAAATGTACTTGAACTCTGAAGCTACCCAAGAAAGGGATCCTACTGGGTGCATGACTCAGGAATTCTACTGCATGAAAAGAGCCAAGCTAATGATGGTAGAGTGAGGAAGAAAAATGCAGATGTAAGCTCAAAGCTAAAAAGCAAGGCCAGGAAGTGCTGGGAAGAAAACACTGGAAGATCAGAGATGAGGGAACTGGAAGCCAGCAGGTGTCACCGATCAAGACAGAAGCTGAGCTAAAAAGCTGGGGAAAAGCTGGGCAGGCATTTCTGGGCTCAGAGCCCAGGAAACACTGTCTTAGTTGGTAGATCAGGTGTCTAACAGGGAGGGAATTCTCATTTGAAGCTTGAAATGGGCTTGAAGTTAAAAAAGGCAAAGCATCCACCCTTTTTCAAAACAAAGACATGAAATAAAATTCAGTCCAAGCTGGAGGCTGAAGTAGAAAATCCCAAAGTCAAGTTCTAAAGGAAAGGTTCATGGATAGGAAGAGGGAGTAACTTTAGAGAGTTCCTGACAGGGCATACCAATGCTTAACCCTGTGTGGAATGGCTTGAATCTCAGAGGAATCTGTACTTGAAATGTGTGTCTAATTTTCAGTTCCTCCTCTGAGGCTTACACCCACAGTGGTCGAATATTCCATGGACTGCACTGAGGTGGTCACGATGATAGCCCTGTAGCCTCACTGTCCCATGCCACTAGTCATATGTGCTTACTTAAATCCAATTTTAAATGAATTAAAGTCCAGCTTCTTAGTCACTGTAGTCACATTTCAAGGGTCAATAGCCACATGAAAACAACAATTGGACAGCACATATATGGAGCATTTGTATCACCACAGAAAATCCTATTGGATAGCACTGCTCTAGAGAAAAAATGATCAAGGGAGACCCTGAATTTAAGGTTTTCATCTGGGAGGGGAAGATATCTCCTTCTAATTCCTGGGAGAAATCCCAAAATAAAGGAATCTGCAGAAAAGAAGATCCCTGTATTTTAGAGTTGCCAAATTTTGTCACAACATCCCGACCCCCTCAGGTTCCCTCTGTCTTCTTTCCTCCCCTTTCCCTTTTTAATATTTTCTGTCACAGAAAGCAATAGGGCAGGCAAAATAAACAGAATAAGAAACTGCTTAGTCACATCAGCAGGGCTTCTTTGAGGACAGATACAGTGTCCTTTTTGGTCCCCATTGTTTGCTGCAGGCTCAACACTCCGTATGTGCAGATCTCTTTCATGGCCCCTTGGGGATCACTGACATCACTTAAGAAATCCTAGGATTCTCCCAGTATGTATTCCTGGCAACCATAAGTAAGTTTTATACAGTTACATGCTCCAGTTCACTATCCTGGTTGTTATTATTTAATCAACAGGGTAAGTCATCACTTCTGATCAAGAGGATTGGTGGGTGGGGGCTTGGGGGGTGCAGCAGCCTCCAGGATGGAGAATACCCACATACACAAAATGCAGCCTATTCTGTGGCTAGAGAAACAGGCATGAGAATAATTACCAGCCAAAAAAAAAATAATATTTTCACTGACAGTTGAGGGCAGTTAGTTTCCCAGGGAGAAGCACTGGTGGCAAAGGGCTTTACACAGGGAGGCCTTTGTCATTTTATGGATGCTCATCTGTCAACTGTCAGCGTGTTTCAAAGGGACTCTGCCCATAATGTTTTCCTCTGCACCTTTCCCATCATGGTGGCCCAAATTTCCCTGACTAACCATTCGTCTTCCTATTTGCCTAGTCTGGTCTCTTACAATGAGTGGAGATGTAGTGGTGATTCTGCAGCTGCAAAGAGTGAGGAAGAGGGGCGGGTGGCCTGAAAGGGAAGGCTGGAAGGAGGGGGAGGCTCAAAGAATGAGCTTAGCATCTCTATGGAAGCACTTCTGCCCAGGGAGGAGTTTTTTTGTCTATACCGTTGTTCCTTAGGAAAAAAGGGTTGAGCCAAGTGTGAGGTTGGCAGGACAGAAGCCGGGGACCCAACAAGGCATGGTAAATCCTAACACCCCCACACCAACCCTAGCATTCTGAGGCCCCACCCACGTGACAATATCATTCTCTTGAGTTCCAGGAGGAAATTAAGTGCAATTGTCTGAGGCATGATAGTACATGAAATTGGCTGTGATGGTTGTGAATTATACATCACAGTTCTATTTGTTCTATCGCATTGTAAATATCATAAATATTTTTGGCAAGTTGGAGACCAGTGCTAAACCATGAACATCAGTAGGGTGAAATTCTGAATCTTCCACATGCTCCATGTATCTTTATCAACAAATCCCTTCAGCTTTCTAAGATTTTATTTCCTCCACTGCAAAATAGGAATGATAAAAACATCTGCCTTACAGTTGTTTGAGGATTAAATGAAATAATGAAATGAGAGAGACTCCTGAACCTCTAACTTGGTCTTGACTGTGCTCCTTTGCTGGCTGTCCACTTTCTCATTCTTGCTCAGTATCATTTCTCTTGGATTTGACTTTTCCAAATTCTTCTTCCCCCTTCCCCTCAGTTCCAACCTCACTGTGTATGGCAGGCTGGGCTCCCAGACAGCCTCTCATAGACCCGGCTCTGCAGCCCCAGCAAGCCTGGATCCAAGAGCATGAAGTAAATAATCAAAAAGGCCATACACTGTTCACATTCCTTCATTATTTCTCTTGTGAATTTTTTGCTTATGTCCTTTACCTATTTATTTAACAGGACTTTTGCATACTGATTTTTGAAAAATGTTTATATGATAAACTTATTAGAGCTTTATTTATTTTATATGTTATTTCTTTTCTCCATTTTTTTTTTCATTTACCTAATAATTGAGAGTTTCCTTGCTAAAAAGTGTTTTTTTTTTTGAGACAGAATCTCACTCTGTCACTCAGGCTGGAGTACAGTGGTGCCATCTCAGCTCACTGCAGCTTCTGCCTCCCGGGTTCAAGCGATTCTTGTACCTCAACCTCCCAAGTAGCTGGCCACCACACCCAGCTAATTTTTGTATTTTTAGTAGAGACAGGGTTTCACCATGTTGGACAGGTTGGTCTAGAACTCATGACCTCAAGTGATCTGCCTGCCTCGGTCTCCCAGAGTGCTGGGATTATAGGCGTGAGCCACTGCACCTGGCTGATGCAAAAGTTTTAATTTTGTGCTGCATAGTCAATCTCTGTCTTTGTAGTTTCTTCTGTTTTATGTTCTAAAGTCCTTCATCCCCCTAAGATCAGACAAAAATCAATTTTTTCCTCTTCTGTTTTAAAACATAAAATATTTATTTAAAAATTAACCGATTATTTAAAATTTAAAAAATTTAACCAACTGGTTAAATTTTGGCTTTCTAGTGTCTGAATTATTTTTGACATACATGGAATGTGCTACCGTGTGTTTTGAGAAGTTAGAAAGCCAAATTCTCGCTTCCCCATATCTGACAATTAGGTTGTATGTACAACCAGGTTGTAAATTCAGCTTGTCTAATTGATGACTCCACGCCTTACGTCCAGTGGAGTCAGTGAAATTTATAAAGCGAAACAGTTTTAAATTCACTTCAGTAGATGTGGCTCTGTCTTGGGTTCAAGTGTCATTGTGACATTGAGTATTAAGGGTCAGGGGCTCCAGGCCAACCAGGTTAGTTCTAGAGCCAGGCCATGACTAACCAAGACAATGCCCTTACGTAAATTAAAGAAAGGCATCCTCCAGGTGCTCATAGGCCCTTGAATACACAGCTTGGCCAGTAGAGCTTTTTGTGAAGACATAAGGCATCTTTTTCTCTGGGTTGATGTGGCACACACCAGGACACATGGCTTGGGGAGCAGAAGCTGGGTTGGCCCCTAATTTCAACCCCTAATTATTCCCTCAGCTAAACACCTTTGGGCAGCAAACAACCTTCATAACCATACTAGGTGGCCTTATGTCCCAAGACAGTTTTATGAGTTTCTCATTAAATGTGTGATCTACCTAAAATCCTACCAAGACATTTCTTTTCAGCTTAAATTATTCAGAGTCAGTTTTCATTACCAGCAACCAAGAACCTAGATTGGTATAATGTTGATCTAGCTGTATAGTCATATATATGTGTGTATATTTCATTTATTTACTCAAATATCATAAATTATTAACCTACAGACCTAGTAACATTTATTTTAATATATCTATTTCTCCTACTCTTTTGAAACCCCACCTTCATAGTAAATTATTTCTTTTATACACTAAGGTATACTTGTAAATATTCTTCCTGTCCCGTTTAATCTGTTTATTCTTACACTTGCAGGTCCCCCCTCCTCAGCCAACCTTCTGGAGGCCCCCCTACAGAGCCCACCTCTGATACTGGAAGGGCCAGAAGTATGAAGGGATACAGATAGACTTATGTGTTGGAGAAAGGAAGCTGAGGCACTTCCTGCCCGATAGTCTCCAGGGAAATAAGAAAGAAATAGGAAGCCAGGTCAAGGATACCCAACAACTGACTTCTAAACACAAGCTGACCTTCCTGGGGGTACCTTTAAGAGCCACACTAAAGGTGCCAGTTCCTTTCTTTGAACACAAATCTATTGAAGACAGGGATTGTGTCTTTCTTTCCTTACAGTCTGGTGGAAAATCTGTAGTTGCTTAATACAAAAGCAATTGAAAACAGTTCCCTGTGACAGTGTCCAAGTGGTTTGCTTTGGTGTTTAAATAAAGCAAATTTTGAAGCAGATGAGAAATATCATTAAGCTCCCTGACTGTGCCGTCATATTAAATTTCAGCAAACTTGGTGGCAGAAGAGAGTAAAGAACATGACATATACAAGGCTCCATCTACCTTAGCTTTTTGGCTTGAATATGAATGAGCTGTGGCATGAAAGCTCTGTATGTGCTCAGAGCCCAAAGTCCACAGGTCATCATTGCATTTCCTTTTGCCAAAAAGATGTACACCCGATTTTCCCAGGGAAAAAAATGAGAGAAAAACCAAGTAAGAGATACTAATGGCAGTTTCTTGTGCATGCAAGCCCAGGCAACAGTGTAGTCTTCAAGAGCACAGACACTGGAGAAGAATGTCTGGTTCAACCCTAGCTCAGTGGCCTCCTAGCTTCCATAGGCCTTGGTTTTCTCATTTGTAAAATAAGTTGGTTTTGAAACTACATCAAGCTCTTAGAACAGTGCCTTAAACATCAATGCTATGTAGATGTTAGCTATTATTCTACTCCACATGCAGCACATGTAGGGCTAGAGGTTTTGACTATGCTACAATTTTTGATTCTGTGAACAGGAACCAGCTGTGTTCCAAGTTCTATGAACTCCAGGAAGACTCTTGATAATTGATTTTCTTAAATACCCTACTCTGTGATACACAGAGAATGGGAACCTTCTCAGTGGGCTAATATGGGGCTAGGCTCTAGTATCCCTTTTTAAATCACTACTGGCAGATCTGAACAAGGAGTTTTCATGCACAGATGACACAACTTTAGGATCACAATTTAGGTGTGGTCTTAATAGACAACTGACCTTGTTATCTAGCTTTGTTAGAGGGAAGGGCTAAGGATCAACTTCTCCAAAACCAAAGTCATTATTGTTGGCTGACTCACCTCCACTTCAACCTGACAGTCCTTTGTAGCAGCTCACTTCATTTAGAAAACCTAGGCAAAATTGTGTTGCCCATTTTGTTGAAGGACATGAGAAGTTACACCGAACGCTGAAGAAATTGGATGTGGCATAAGTGTTTTACAGAGCTTTTTAGTGGTTAATGTAGAAAAATCTGCTTTGTAAATTGTCCAGTTAAAATTCTTACCACCCACACTCTATGGCAGAGGACACTGATGTCTTCGTTATTGGTTCTGTGCAATCAGGTAGATTAAGAGAATTACTTCCTGAAGAGAATCTTGGCCCTGCCTTGGGTCCTGTCTACTTCTCTTCAAGGGGGGCTGAGATGGCCTCTCTCCAAGGCTGTTTAGCTTTTATTCATTCTATCCCCAGCTCAGCTGGCTTTTACAACACATAGTTCTGTACTTAACTTGACACTTAAAATGACTTCACCTAAGGACTTGTTAGGAAATATATTCTCAATATCACTGCCAGTCAATAGCTATTTAAGTCTCTGGAAGACAAAAATACCCATCCTGTTGATTTGAACCCCAAGACACCTCTAAAATCCATTCTCATCTCTTCATTCCCCACGACACTCTAATCTTAGCCACTGAGTCTTTTGCAACACCAGAGCCTTCTAATTCGCTCCACGTTTACTTCTACCTTAACCTTTCCAGTTTCCACACCTTGCTCTGAGCAATTTTTTATTTTATTTATTTTTTTATGTTTTAGACAGAGTCTGGCTCTGCGCCCAGGCTAGAGTGCAGTGGTGCGATCTCAGCTCACTGCAAGCTCCACCTCCCGGGTTCATGCCATTCTCCTGCCTCAGCCTCCTGAGTAGCTAGGACTATAGGCGCCCGCCACCACGCCCAGCTAATTTTTTGTATTCTTAGTAGAGACGGGGTTTCACCGTGTTAGCCAGGATGGTCTTGATCTCCTGACCTCGTGACCTGCCCACCTTGGCCTCCCAAAGTGCTGGGATTACAGGCGTGAGCCACCGCACCCAGCCACGCCGAGCAATTTTTAAAACACAAATCTGATTGGACCACCCCCCTGTTTAAAAGCCTTTAATGACCTCTTAACTATTCTTAGGTTAAAGTCTAAAATCTTCATCCTGTCTTACAAGCTCTGGCATGGTCCAGCCTTTGACCGTCCGTCCAGCCCTATCTCTCAGCCTCTTCCCCTTTCCCTCCAACTTCTAGCCACTGTGGCCTCCCCTCCCACCCTCAAATGTACCAAATGCTTCTACCTCAGGGCCTTTGTGTGTGATGTTTGTTCTGCTAACTGCTTCCTCACCCCTCTCCTCCCTTCTCTACTCCCATCATTCTCTCTTTTTTACCTTTGATAACATAACCTCCGCCCATGGCCAGATAAATCCTACTCACTATTTTTTTCTTTTTTCAGATAGGTTCTCACTCTATCACCCAGGCTGGAGTGCAGTGGCATGATCTTGGCTCCCTCTGCCTCCCAGGCTCAAGCGATGCTCCCACTTCAGCCTCCTGAGTAGCTGGGACTATGGGCACACACCACCATGCCTGGCTAATTTTTGTACTTTTGTAGAGGTGGGATTTCGCCGTGTTGTCCAGGGTGGTCTCAAACTCCTGGCCTCAAGCAGTTGCCCCTCCTAGGGGCACTTTCAAAGTGCTAGGATTACAGGCACGAGCCACCGCGCCCAGTCCTTACTGAATTTCTTGTCTTCGTTGAATTGTTGCTGACTTTCTAAATATTTCCATTAGCCAATGTATCATAATTGATGGTTGATAATTATATTTTGGTTTTTGAGGTTGTCATTGTCCTCATCAATAAAGGCAGTTACTAAGACGGTACTGTAAAAACCCTTGAGCTTAGCATTGTGCTTTGAACTTAATAGATATTCAATAAATGTGAAAGAAGAAAATAATTGCCGCAAAGACATACAGTTCTTCCATGCTTCTGGGAATTTCAGAATTTATCCTTGGATTAAGTCAATTAATAAGAGGTATGTATTTCTGGATCCCAAAGTATTGCCTTTTGCCACCCCCAACCACCATATGATAAATACTTTAACTTAAACGGGCCTTAGAATGATTTTATCAGCTTATAATGGGGGATGTTATAAGAGATAAAGTTATAAAATAAGTATTTGCTATAAAGTTAATTGAAGACATAATTCATTCTATAAGTACCCACAGGAAACAAGTCTGTTCAAAACAGTGATGCTTCTTTGGAGCTACTGGTTGGTTTTTATCTTATGAAGATGATTAAAAGCATAATTAACAGTATCTTCTTCTTTAAGCAGTCAAATTGGTGGCCCACTTTTGGCAAATGGATATGATTTCATGCCGTACTTTTAATATACTAACCTGATGGCTGGTAACATTTTACTTCCTTACACTTTTGTTTTGCCTCAATCTTCTCACCTCTTGTGAATTTGTGTTACCATATGCCTCTTCATAAGCCATCTTAAATCCTTTCTGGGATAAGGTGGGGTATAAATAAACAAACAAGAAATGTGTAATATATGCTTCTCTGCTACACTTCTGTGCTTTTCCCTGGAGGTACTAAAACAATTGTGAAAATAAGGCCAAAGATTTCTTTTCAGTTTCCTCTATAGTCACAGAGAATCGCTTAGGCTCACTAAAACCGTTCCCTAGATGGAGTCAAGTTGCTTTTTTAGTAATTCCATTCATAAATACACACTGGCTGTCTAGTAGAGCACTTGAAATCTTGATAATCAAAAGCTTATTGTGTGTTTGAGAAGCCTGAAAGGAAATTGAAGCTAATACCAAGGGAGAATAGAATAAAGTTAGATGTTTTCCTTCCAAACCAGCAGGAGGTCATTTAAAGTATAATGTAATGCACAACGTTTAACTTTACGAACCTTTTCGCTTTTTCTGCTCATTTTGTTTTGCATTTACATTAGTAAGGTTACTCTATCACACATAATTAACTTGCCATCTATAGAATGAGAAAAAAAATCCAAGGTTGTACTGATACTTTATAACAGAACAATAAGTATGTTTGACATTGTAAGTTTCTTTGAAAAGTTCAGAAGTTAAAAAAAATTAAGGACTCTATATACTTACATCTTTACTAGTTATTTATCCTTCCTCCCCTCTCTACTCCCACACCCAATATACAATTATGAAGTAGAAACAGAATCACTACAGTTAAAAAAAAAAAGAAAGAAAGAGAAAAGAAAGAAAGAAAGAAAAAGAAAGAAAGAAAGAAAGAGAAAGAAAGAGAAAGAAAGAAAGAAAGAAGCAATTTAGGAAAAAAATACAATGGAAAAATGGGAAACACTATTTTCACTAAATCTGCATCAACAATGAAGTCTCTCTGGGCAAGTATAAAGGAGATGTTATGATTGGCACCCCTGGTGATCTTCTCTTCTGTTCTCTGGAAATATTTTCTTGGACCTTTGTCCTCTAAAGTCCCTGGTTCTGCACTCTGAGACCTTCTCCTCTCTCCATTTTTCTTTATGACCACATGTGAGGTGAGCACTTGGAACAATGCCTTTCTGGGGGGTTCACAGTTTTTATATCCTGTTTCCAGCTGGCACAGGTTTTGGAGCCCAGGGATTACTTCAGAGGCTGACCAGACTTTTTCAGACCCAGTTTGTGGTTTCTTGGGCTATATTATCCCCTCAGAAACTTGGTAAACTTCTAATGAACAGTGTGTGCCCAATCTGTTGCATGTGTGGCTTGCCCTAGCCAAAATCTGGCCTAGAAATAGTTTTTAAGTACAAAAGCTTTGGACTTTTACCTTCCACTGCGATTAATTTCTTTTCTCATACCTAAATTATGGCTCCCTTAGAGCTGTCTGAAAACAACCTCCTTGAATTGATATTTGCCTCAAAGCTGGCTCCCACTGTCTTGCAGAGAACAATGATTAGAAGATGCTTGAAGAGTATGTTGGGGCAGAGTCAGTCCTATGTGTAGCTAGGCAGTCATTGCTTATTACCAGTCCATTTAGGATACAAACGCAATTAGGTTTTTCATCTCTGCAAGACCCCAAATTACTGGGTATTCAAGAATTCGTAGACCATGAGCCAAGAATATTCTTTTCTACTTCTACTTGCAGATAAGCTAGCTCTGGCCTGAGTTTATCTTTCTCTGCTGAGGCTTTGCTGAAAGTGGCATAAAGTGGCCAACACACACCAACATCCTGAATTTTCCCTGAAGCTTCAATCAGATCATGGTTTCCCTTCCAAAGTCCTGCTGGAAATGATTTAACCAAATGTTTTGCAACATTTCAATCCATCTACAACTCTACCAAATCCACTAAGCCAATGGCTCATTTTGGGTGTTTACTTGGAGAACCCCACAGCCAGATAACAAAATCTGAATCACTTAGGGTTAGATTTGGCTGAGAGTGATACAAACCCCAAACTACCATGTGTGGGTTTTTTGTTTTTTTTTTTTTGAGACGGATTTTTGCTCTTATTGTGCAGGCTGGAGTGCAGTGGCATGACCTTGGCTCACTGCAACCTCTGCCACCCGGGTTCAAGCAATTCTCCTGCCTCAGCCTCCTGAGTAGCTGGGATTACAGGCACGCACCACAAGACCCGGCTAATTTTG
Source organism: Homo sapiens (assembly GCF_000001405.40). Taxonomy (NCBI): domain Eukaryota; kingdom Metazoa; phylum Chordata; class Mammalia; order Primates; family Hominidae; genus Homo; species Homo sapiens. The sequence goes on from NC_000004.12 coordinate 84,060,160, forward strand.
TTTTGTATTTTTAGTACAGATGGGGTTTCACCATGTTGGTCAGGCTGGTCTTGAACTCCTGACCTCAGGTGATCCACCCACCTCAGCCTCCCAAAGTGCTGGGATTACAGGTGTGAGCCACTGCGCCCAGTCAAACTACCATGTTTCATATCACATGGTGTGTTTTTCTCAAATGTACACAACATTTGAAAATAAGTGGTTCAGGCTGGCATGGTTATTCTTCTTCTTAAGTGCTTAGAGGCCCAGGTCTTCCTCAGCCAACCACCATGTTTGCCCTAGGATGTTTCCCATGTCCTCATGGCCCAACATAGACCACCTGCCATTATATCCACAATCCAACCAGCTGCTACTTTCAGCAAAGTCTCACAGGGGCAAAGAGGAACTGAAGAAAAGCATGTTCCCTCTCCAAAGTTGCACACATCATTAGAATTTACTCACATGGCTACACCCAGGAGCAAATGCAGTCTTCATTTTGTTGTCTAATTTTATTGAATCATGTACTTAGCTAAAAATTGTAGGTTCTATTATTACAGGAAAATATGAGACTGGATTTGGGGAAATAATAGGAGTAGTTGCTCACAGTTGCCTAGATTACAGAGTAACTGGGCTCAAACACTGAGATGATACCAGACTTAAGGGTCATGTTCTCAAGCCATGCTCTCTGAGCAGGAGCCTGGTGGAGGCACGCAGTTTGTTGACATGGTCAAGCAGTTGTCTGTCTGCTTGGAGACTAGGGAATAAAGGGAGTCAGCTAGTTGTATGTGCCATCTTATGGGGACAGGTCTCAGAGACTTAGTGGAAAATTTGATGAGATTCATGAAGTTGTTGTCTAATTTTATTGAATCATGCAGAAATGAAAGATAGTTTCAAAAGCCTATTAAAAAGCTTGAAACAGCATGGGTAACAGTATTGTTTCTTTTAGCATAAAGTTAACTTGGGAAGAGAATGGAAGATTTAGGAATACTAGAATGAAGTGGCAGATTGTTTTCTCTAAAAGTTAAAAAATAATAGGTTGGAGGAAAAAAAAATGTGCTGAGGGGGTTAAACTTATCTTGAGAATCAAGATCAGACAAAACTGAGATTCCAGACAATTGGAGGATGACAGATATGGCAGGAAGGAAAAGAACTGTGAGAAGAGTATGGAAGAAAATGTTAAGGAACAAGTTTGACGAGAATCCCTGTGTTCTCACATATTACATCTATTGCATAGAGAGTATATATTTTATACAAATACTGAAAAGTGACTTAATGTTTTGAATTAGATTTCCTGTATGATCTTATAAGCATTCTCATAGCCTGGAAGTTTTGAAGTAATGACATTTCATGTGATTGGAAAGATTTACTTTTTTCAAAAGAAGTGATCTGATAGAAGAAACAGGGAAATGACTATATGATAATAAGGATACGGTGAAAATCCACAACCCTATAGAAGTTCCATATAAATCTCTTTACAAAAATGTAATACAAAGAAACAGAAGGAGGTTGAAGAAATGGGACATAGATATGTACCAATGGCTTCCATTCTTTTCGAGACTTAGAGGTACTTAGAAAAGTAGTGACTTCAGGGCCTCACCAAAGACCCACCAGACCACAGTCTACTATCCAGGACTCGGGAATCTGTATTTATAATGTAAAAACAAAAACACTTTCAAATTTTTCATCCTGGGAGTGGCTTTCGGGAACTGCTGCTACAGACATTCAATGAGAAGGAAGGGAAGAATGCTGCTTTCCTAATGTGGATCACAAAACTGGCGCAGAGATGAAACAGAGATGAAGTCTAGTGGTAGTGCTGGGGGCAGCATCCCCTGCCCTTCTGCAGTCAGCTGCGTGTTTCCTCCTGATGAAGCAGAGCAGCTAGTACATTCTGGATTTTTCTGTTGTTGTTGCAAATGGCACTTTTCAAATTTGAGGAAGAAATGAGGGAAATGTGTACCAGGACTGTTCTAGCTTCTTCCAATCTCCTATCCAGGGTGTTATTGCCTGAATCCAAAAGAAGCCAAAGGGCTCAGGAGCTGGTGATGGGTCAGCTGGGCCTCTGGAGAAAAGGACAGGGTGAAGGCAGGGTGGACCTTGAGGGGCATGTGGAGATTTGGGGGGCACTGAAGCGGTAGGAACTAGCCAGCCCAGCCCCAGCACTACAAATTTGTGTGGTCATTCTTCATATCATAACCCAACCTGTTCACTATCCCTAAAAAACTTCTTACAGAGCTTCATGGCCATTCATAAAGATGGAGTTGCTCTGGCTAAAGAAAAGAAGTTTAAATCTAATCAGAGAAATGCAAATCAAAACCACAATGAGATAACATCTGACCCCAGTCAGAATGGCTATTATGAAAAAGACAAAAAATAACAGATACTGGCAAAGGTTCAGAGTAAAGGGAATTCTGATGCACTGTTGGTGAGAACGTAAACTAGTACAGCCACTATGGAAAATGGCATGGAGATTTCTCAAAAAAGTAAAAATATAATTACCGTTTGATCCAGCAACCTCACTACTGGGTATCTGCCCAAAGGAAAAGATCAATATATTAAAGTGATACCTGCACTCACATGTTTGTTGCAGCACTATTCATAATAGCACAGATATGGAATCAACTTAAGTGTACACCAACAGATGAATGGATAAAGAAAATGTGACATAGATACACAATGGAATACTATTCAGTCATAAAAAATGAAATCATGTCATCTGTAGCAATGTGGATAAAACTGGAGGTATTGTTTTAAATGAAATAAGCCTGGCACAAAAAGACAAATATTGCATGCTCTCACTTACATACAGAAGCTAAAAAATTTGATCACATGGAGGTGGAGAGTGGAAAGACAGATAACAGAGGCTGGGAAGGGTGAGTAGGGGAGAATGGGGGAGGATGAAGAGAAGTGGATTAAAGGGTACAAACACACAGTAAGATAGAAGGAATAAATTCAAATTTTGTAGCACAGTAGGATGACTATACTTAACAAAAATATATTGTACTTGGGTGATAGACATTCTAAATAGCCTGACTTAATCACTACACATCATATACATGTAACAAAATTTCCCACTTGCCCCATAAATTTGTACAAATAAAACAAATGGAAATGATGAGGCAGGAAATGTGCATACTGCTACTGTAAACACTTGAACTGAAAATGGACCCCTCACTCATTCTGTCTTTCAGTGGTCTCTCTAGCCAGTTGGTGGTATTTTGGCTGGCAGATCATACTCTATATACTCTGGAAAGATAAGGTGAACCTTCATCTCAAGGAATAAATGATGGTTGGAATGAACAGAGGGTATAGAAGTCTATATTAGGTTTATTTATTAATCTGAAGTTCAATATTTCTTTTGACATACAAGCATTAATCTCGAGCAGAAAGGAGCAGGAAGAGTTTATTTCAGTTTTATTTGCTGGTGTTTCCTTAAAGCCATGTCTACAGCCATCATACTGAGATGAAATTGGTTTGGTAAAAGAGCTAGGGGATCAGTTCTAGCTCTGGAAAGGAGAGAAATGTCTCGGTAGAGTGAGACTGGAAAGGAGAGAAATGTCTCGGTAGAGTGAGAATTTATAAGATCTGAAAATTGGACATAATGGGTTTCGTGGAAACTACCCAAGTGCCAGGGCTGCAAGAGATTTAGAGCTGTTGCATAATCTCTCTCTGGCTTTCAGCAGAAGCAGTCACCGTGGCTACACTGGTCTTCAGTGAATTATCCCCAATGTTCCAGATGGCATGGGCAGCAGGATTACATGATAACATGGGGGTAAGTATCAGAGGCTTTCAAAAGGCATTTATTAGAAATTATTTCTGACAAAAGGTTAGCAAATCCCGTCCTTTCAAATTTATCAGTACTCTTTTTATCTATACTTATCACAGTGCTGGGTACACAGTAAGAAATCAATAAGTACTTTCTTTTCTTTGATTAAAATTTGCCAACATATAAACACAATTCTGTATCAATATTTGCTATATTCACCAAATATATATTAATTCCTACTATGCAACTAGAACTGGCCAGGCACTAAAGTAACAAAAAAGATAAATGACATGATCTCACCTCTCAAAGGGCTTACATTTCAGTGCAAATAAATATATAATTACAAATTATAATACAAGCCATGAAAGAAAAGAGCTAAAAACTTTGAGTGATTTTAATGGGAGGACATGATTTGGTTTAAGGATTGAGAATCTCTGCTCTAAGAAAATGACATTTGAGCTGAGATGTGAAGGATAAGTAGGAATCAACTCCTTGAAAGAAGTGAGCATTTCAGACCTTTAAAAAAAATCAGGGAAGATAAAATTCTGAGGTATGAAGAAGCAAGGTGCATTCCAGGAGGGCCAGTGTGATAGGCGCTCAGGAAGCAAGGGGAAGCAGGTGAGAGATGAGGCTGGAGAGGTGGACAGCAGCAGGTTGTGGCTCTTATACAGAATCATTTATTTTAAGAGTCATTGAAAGTCATAATCAGAGAAGGATTATGATCTAAGCTGTTTCTGAAAATATTACTTTAAGGATTGGATAGAGGAAGGCAGAAGAGGATGCTGTCCAGGAAAGAGATGATTTCAGTTTGGATAGAGTGGTAGTGGCTGAAACTAGGACAAGTAAAGGGATTTGAGGAATATGTACAAGTCTAAATTGATAGGTCTTGACGATGTAGCAGGTGCGTGTGTGTTTTGTCATGTGTTGGACAACAGAGAGGGAACTGTCAAAGCCAACAGCCCTGGTTCTCTGCTTTTGTAGCTGGACAAATAGCTGTGCCATATTCTTGAGACAGTAATGGCGGAGGACCAGATTTGGAAAAAACATGATCAGTTAAGTTTTAGGTATGTTGATTCTGAGGCACTTTCCAAGCGGAGATGCTGAGAAGCAGTTGGGAGCTCAGAAGAAAGGTCTGACATGGTGTGGAAGAACTTTAATGGGCTTGTCCAACATCCATTCCCAACTCTTTTCTCTTTTGCCAGCCTCTACTATAGAGGCTGGATAAGCAATATTTTCAGTTTCCTTATCTTTTTGCATATGAGGATAGCCATGGAACAAAGATCTGGCCAATGTGACATAAGCTTGAGTTTGTCAAGGAATTATCAGGAAACCTTTTTTTTTTTTCCTGATATAGATACTATCTCACCTCTGGTTTATTCTATCACTTTGAATATGGATGTGAATATGGAACTTTTGCAGCCATATTACTGCCATCAGAGAACAGGCAAGAGAATCATAGACACTTCAGTCAAGATGTCATTGAACAACTAAAATATGCCAGCAAAAGCTACCTCCCAACTTTATGAAAAACAAAATAAAATTATATTTTTTCAGCTACTCTGTTTTTTATTAATTGCAGAAACAAACTATTTCTAGCTGATACAGGTAGAGTTATAAATTTGACAATCATCAGCATATGGATGATAATTGGAGCCAGGCGCCAGAAGAAAAAGGCCCAGAACAGACCTTAATGAACTCCAACAACTGAAGTCTAGTTAAAGCAAAAGGAGCAAGAACAGGAGCTGAGGAAGAGTGTCCAAAAAGGTAGGAAGGAAACCAGAAGAGTGTGTAAAACAAGGACGCCGATGGAAAAGGGTCTTATAAAAAGGAATGAATGGTCAATGGTGTTAGATGTAGCTGTTAGCTGAATCCTAAAGCATCTACTGGATTTGGTGACATAGAGGTCACTTGTGACTGTGGTGGAACTATTGGAATGCATTATATAGGAAGGGTAGGCCAAGAAATGGAAACATCATCTACAGATAACTCTTTTGGGGTGTCAGGCTGAAAAAGAAGAAGGTAGCAGGAAGAAGCTGGATAGAGAGATTTTGTTTTGTTTTTCAAATGAGAGGATGGAGGAAGTTGTTTTTCTTTTCTTTTTTTTGAGATGGAGTTTCACTCTTGTTGCCCAGGAAAGAGTGCAAGGGTGAGATCTCAGCTCACCGCAACCTCTACCTCCCGGGTTCAAGGGATTCTCCTGCCTCAGCATCCTGAGTAGCTGGGATTACAGGCATGTGCCACCACGCCTGGCTAATTTTGTATTTTTAGTAGAGATGGGGTTTCTCCATGTTGGTCAGGCTGGTCTCGAACTTCCGATCTCAGGTGATCCACCCACCTCGGGCCCCCAAAGAGCTGAGATTACAGGCGTGAGCCACTGTGTCCGGCCTGGATGAAGTTTTAAAACATGTAGAAAGGACCATCCAGGCCAGATAAAGAGAAGAGAAAAAGGTTATTGATAGCATGAGATTCCCAAGAAGGTGGAGGCAATTGGTGATCACAGCACAGGTAAAGGGATTAGTTTTTAATGTTAAAAATATGAGACTCAGAGAGGCAGATTAAATCTGATGAATAAGATAACCTAAATACAGCCAGTTTATTTAGGACGTAGGCACTGTTGCTTTCTGGATATACTGATTATATAATTTGCAATATAAACTATAGGGGCCTCTGTAGAAATGTGGAGAATTCCTGTGGTGATTTTGAGGTTTGCAGGACAAAGACAGCAAACCTGCTCCACAGTTGCCCCACTGGGCGACTTTGATTTTCATGGTGGATATATCACACTATAACGTCTAGCTCTCACTCTCACTTTGGTGGGTATGTGGTATTCTAGTATATAGTAGCCAATCTTACTTTGGGATATATAGCAGTCTAGATTCTAGCCCTCCGTCTTCACTTGGTGAATAAAATGGTTAATTTTATGTGTCAGCTTCGATATGCTACAGTCTGTAGTTATTCAATGAAACACTAATCTAAGTATTGTTGTGAAGACATTTTATAGATGCAATTAAAGTTCATTATCAGTCAACTTTAAGTGAGTGAGATTATCCTAGATCATCTAGGTGGGCCTGATTTTATCAGTTGATGAAAGGCCTTAAGAGCAGAGCTGAGGTGTCCCTGGATGAAGAAGAAATTCTGTCTATGGGCAGCAGCTTCAGCTCACGGTCAAGAGTTCCAGCTTGCCTTTCCTGACAACCTGCCCTGAGGACTTGCCTAGCCAGCCCCCACAATAGTGGAAGCCAATTCCTTGTAACAAATCATTTAATATATATTTCCTCCTGGTTCTCTTTCTCTGGGTGAATGCTGGCTGATATAGTGGCCATACTACAGTAAAAAATCTAGCCCTCAGGAAGCTGATTTGTAAAAATACCAAGGGTTGGCCTGACAGGTAGAAAGCTGAAAAGGCTAGCTAAAACACCAAGAGTACCTGTATACAGTAAGAAAGTTAGATTACAAATATTGGAAATACTCAAAGTCCATACGAATGGCACACTCATTGGATGATTTGTGGAATCAAACGTGGAAGTAGGGGCAGGTGAATATTGAACTAGATCAGGCTAAGAGATCCGATGCATCCGTCTTGCCATGGAGCCTCTCCCTTGCCAAGAGAACCTCAAGTACTTAAAGTTCCTTTGCTAAAGCTCTTTCTCTGACGGAATGCTACTCTGGTCATTAACAATATTTGCCTACCTGACTTGCCTGTTTCTAAACTTACACGGCTAAGTAATTCCCTTTATAGATACACTACTTTCTTTACCTATGTTGATACTGATATAGTCAATCCAGTTTCCCAAGAGCCTCACAGGCTTAGGCATCTTTCTACTTCCTTCCATGGTCCTTACATAGCTCTGCTCTAATCCCACTCTGTATTGATGTTACACACTGGCTTTCAGAGGGTAATGACTTTTTCCTCTTTCTTGAAAGCCCACCAAAAGTTTTTGTGAAATCAGTACTTCAATTCTAGACAAAGGGGTTGTGGGCCGTTGAAGGAATATGCATTCATGGTTCAGAAGGTAGCTCTTAGATTAGCTATTGTTAATCTTCTGGAAACTAGTTAGATTCTATCATACCATCCAAACACCTTCTACTTTCAAGTCTTTCCTTCCAACTCAAAATGTTTGCAAACTGCCAATATCTTTCCTAAAAGCTCTGCATACATTAATTTCTACAATCCTTGTAACAAAGTATAAGCACCTTGAGACGAAGCCATTTTTATTTCTGCACTATGGAAGGAAAACCGAGGCTCAGAACATCAACAAGTTGTCCAGTGTCACATACTAGTAAGATGTGGAGCTGGGGTTTGTGTCCAGACCTATCTGACCCCACACCATGGGCTCTCCACCACAACACTGTAAATATCCCTCTTCCTTTAATAATTAGATACATCTATTGAAAGGTAATGTGGAGTTAATAAATTGTTTTTTAACCCCAAACCAGATTTCCTCCTACAGACCTTTCTAATCTGCTATGCACATGGTATCTAAACATGGTTCAACCATCTTTTCACTTATGATCTCTTTTTCCCCTACGTGATTATGTGATATTAAATCTAATTTTTTTTCCTTTGTTTGTCCCAAATGTGTTCTAATTTCTCATCCTCCTCTTTCCACTCTTATTCCTTATTCATTAGACTATAAATTCAAAGGGTAGTAAGTGATACTTTGAGTTTCAAATCATTCATCAGGATGATAAATGTTTTAATTTAGAAAAAAATCACATTTTTAGTTGATGTTGCACTTTAAAAACCATTTTACAATTATAAAGCACTTTTTTTCTATTCAAAGAGCTTTCATATACATTATACACATTATTTTGTTTGATCCTTACAGTATCCTTAGGATCTGAGTAAGATAGATACTATTTTCATTTTGCAGATGAAAAAAATTAAAATAGAAAGCTTAAGTAACATCATTTTCTGGCAAAATAGATTAGATATATGTAGATTTACATAGTAATGCCCACTAGGGTTCATTCACTGAATTTATAGAATGAACACAGGAAAGTTTAATGGAGATATCAAATTATCCAATACAGTCACACAAAGGTGACAACAAACAAATAAAACTAGTGTGAACAGTCCCTGAAAGAAAACTATTAACCCTCCAATTAGACCAATCTCAGCTTAGTTTAACCAGATTATACTGCCCTGCCCCTAAATTTCTATACTTAGATTACATCACTTGACCTTACTTGGATGATTCTATACACTTTTGTGGGAGGAGATGTAGGAAGAGAGTTATACATAGAATTTTCGGAAAGTAGCTAGAAAATATCACCAAGTAAAGGCATGCTTTGAAATTCCGTATGCATTTCATTTTATTCTTCATTTTCCTTTCCTTTCCCTTCCTGCCTAACTAACCCCCATTGCTCCACATACATTCATACCCACTCTCTCACACATATCGGCTTGCTCCATAAATAACTCAGCGACAGTACAAGCTCTAAGGGATATCAGAACAGCTCATTGGCTTCTTGGGCATGCTCTCCTCTCCTGGCCATCAAGTTTTCTTTGCTGATGAAAAGAAAAGACATTTTTTTTCCCTAAGATTAACCTATAGAGGGCATTAATTTAAAACATCACTAGGACACCGGGTGTCCAGGAGAACTGTGTACAAGCGCTAACCTCAAAACATTCAGACTTTGAACTAACACCTTTGAAGTAATCTGTGACTGAAATGCAATGCTTAGGTGATGCTTTCCAAGCCTGCGGCACACCATTCTCCCCAGGTAGGTGTCGGTGTGAGTGCATCTCTGTGCTGAAGTGTCTTTGTATGCCTGTGCGCACCCTATTTTCTTGATTTTTGTATGGATGGCATTATAGGGATCACAAAGCTACTTAACTTATTGTAACCCATTTTTTTTTTTTAGATGGAGTCTTGCTCTGTCACTCAGGCTGGAGTGCAGTGGCGTGATCTTGGCTCACTGCAGCCTCTGCCTCCCAGGTTCAAGCAATTCTCCTGCCTTAGCCTCCCAAGTAGCTGGGACTACAGGTATGCACCGCCACGCCCGGCTAATTTTTATATTTTTAGTAGAGACGGGTTTTCACCATGTTGGCCAGGACGGCCTTGATCTCCTGACCTTGTGATCCGCCCGCCTCAGCCTCCCAAAGTGCTGGGATTACAGGCGTGAGCTACCGCGACTGACCAACCCACTTTCTTAAAACTACTTCTATCACAAACTTTTAGTTCTTCTGATTTTGGATTTTTTTTTTTTAACAAAAAAGAGGAAGAAGAAAACGGTAAAAAGAAAAAACAAAAAAAGAAAAGAATAATGAAAGGGAAGCCAACACCACTTCAATTTGATTCGGATATCCAACCTTAAAAAAAAATAGTTCAAACCCAAAACCCAACAACCAAGAAAAACTCCAACGAAACAATAGAAATTTTAAGCTGAAAGTGTTCCAGATCCCTCTGACAAAGAGCCTCCCGAGGATTACAATGCAGTCAATGTTGCTTTAATTAAATTTAATGCTGTGTGAAATGCACTCCAAGAAACTTTGATGAATGACTGGGGCAATTCACGGAGCTCACTAAAGGGCATCCAGCCCTTGCCGGGGTGTCAAGCCACGATGAATTGGTTAGTACAGGCATGTTTATAGACTGCCTCGGGAACCTCGTATCTGTGTGGTAATGTCAGAGATAATGTTATGATTCGCTGGACCTGAGGGGGCTTTGATGACACGGTTAATGAGATGTCCCAGAGAGCACCCCTGCAGGTTGTGCTCGGACCTCCCACATCAAACGAGCGGCCTTGCCCCTCCAGAGCTGCTGCCCTCCAAATCCCTCAGCTGGGCTTTTCTTTCCTTAGGGTCTTTCTCCCTCTTTTCTTTCTTTCCTTTTTTTTTTTTTTCCTTCTGAGTCTACATTCACTTTGTCTGGCTGTTGAAATTCAAAAGTTGTTAGTTTTTAATTTGGCTTCTTGTTGACCTGACAGTGAACAAAAGGCTTTCTGGGATTTGTGGAAACTAGGAGAGAAAAGAAAAGGATGCTGGGGAAAGGATAAAGAAAAAAGAAAAAGGACTCATGACCAAGAGAGGCAACATCTAAACATCACCCTGCTTACAAAAAACAAAGGTTCCCTGTAGACTTTGGTAGTAAAATGTGGTCATATTGTGGGAGAATGTGATTTTTAAAAACCTCAAATTTTATTTGCTTTACTGACATCTAAAAGAAAAAAAATTAATTGATAAAAATTAAAAATTAGCCAAAACAAGCACATAAGCAAGCAATTCACTTATGATTATAAAGGACACTGTTGTGTTTTAACAGTTTTTCTCCTCATTATAATCTGTGGGTAGAAAAAAATCCTCCTGGGAATTGAAGAAAGAAATGGTAGCTGGTAAATAAACATGCTTGGAATATATCTATCTCTGCAAAAAGTCCCCAGACAGGAAATGAACAGACAGTATTACCTCATTAAAGAGAATATGCATAGAAGGCAAAACAGAAGTATATCAAATAACCCTTCCTGAGAAAGAAAATTGTTTTGTTTATTTTATACTTTAAAGACATTCTAAAATATTTGCCTATCTAAATGTAGCCAAATATCTCCTCCTTGGGGAGAAAGCAGCCTTTATTATTAATACTTTATTATTTTTTCATAGAGGAAGAGAGGGAAACGATAACTCACCATTACATGTTCTAAATATGCTTGCCACTACCATTTTTCTTGTTTCTAAAGAAATTACTTGAAACTGAATAGGAAAAACAAGCAATAAAGTATTTCCCTTTTTTCTATCGCATTCTTTTTAAAAATAACTCCTATTGAAATCCTATTAATTTTTTATTGCTGAAGGATAAGTGAACTGTCTAGGTAGACAGTTTCTTATGGTAAATGACATTTATTTAAAAATATACTTGTTTTGCTTAATAGCAATATAATGAATGAAGTTGAAATTGGAGCACAGGCACAAAAGTGCCACACATGGTTTGGTTGGTTGTTTCCTAAAGAGGACAAAAGATAAGCAAGGAGCTAATCTATTTTAAAATAAGTCTAGCTCCAAGATAGTTTAGCTCTGAGATAGTATGACAAAATAATCTTTGTACTCATTAAGGATCAATTAGTGCTTCTGCTAACTGGACTCTTGCCCACAATTATAAAGGACAGAGAACCTCAGAAAGCTGGATGAGAAGCTTATTTCTTGGTTGTAAGTTGGAAAGAGTAGCTTTATAGGTGAGAGGGTATTATTAATTATATCAAAGTTGAAGTATGGGTTGAAAAATGAATGAACACAGTAACCAGTTGGATGTTGCTTTAGTAAAGAATGATTTCAAAATATTAAGTTGTTCCTTAACAGGGAGAGGAAAAATTAAGTGATTGAAAAGGAAGGATGTTTAATAGAAGAACTGGAGGTAAATACGATGCCTCTCTTACATAAGGAGCAGCTTATTAGAAGGTCTCTGTGAAATATGTTTACTTTTTATAGCTCTATGCCAGGCTCAAAGCCCTGACAACAGACAAACTGCCTGTGTGTAGCACAAGTATCAGGCAGAACTCTTTCAGTTGCAAGTGACAGAAATCTCGATTTGACTTTGTTTAAACAAACTTTTAAGAAAAGGAATATATTGGCTTATATGATAGTAAGTCTAGAGAGAGATGAACTTTCATGTAGATCTAAATTCAGATTCCAAACAGTATCCTAAGGACTAGATTGCTTTCTACTTTCCTCTACATATTATATAGATTTCATTTTCAGCTCGGCATGATGACAAGTTAGCTGCAGTTGCTCCAGCCAGATATTCTTTCAGGTCCAAGTTGGATAAGACAGGCTTGAGATTCACTCTGACTTCATGGACTTAGGTCATGTGCCCAGCCCTGGATTTACTGCCATCACCAAAATAATTAGCTGCATTAATTTGCTTATGGCCAGGTCATGCGTACCACCCCTAAAACTGGGGGTAGCACCCCACAGACCACGTGGAGAGAAAGTAGGCGAGTGCATACCCAAATTAAAAATTATAATCTGCTACTAAAATGAGAGAATTCTAGTACTGTATTC